>NC_000012.12:71854067-72005582 GCF_000001405.40 Homo sapiens | reverse complement strand
TCGATGCTCCTTTTTCCAATGCCAGAACTTCCATTTACTAAGTTCTTATTTGACTTGGCAAAATGACTTTTCAGAAAAGCTAGAAGACTATATGCCAAAATGTTAAGAGTGTTTATTGCTGCTGTGATAGTGCAGATGATCTTTATTTTCCTTCCTTATCTATGTTTTAAATTTTTTCTACAATAAATATATGTTATCTTTTTAATAAGAAAGAGGAAAAGAGGTTTTTGTAAAGACTTTAAAGCCCCCTCAGTAAAGAAGTCCCTGAGTCACCCTGCATTAGCCTCCTCTTCATTGCTGAAGAGATGATTTTTTATGGACGTTCTAAAGGACAGACTTTCAGATCCTGAAAAAAATGATGAGCACCCCCCTCACAAGGTGATTTACTCCTCCCAAACCTAACAGCATTTCTTACTTACCCCTAGTCTGGATTTAAGCCCTCAAATGACAGCATTTCCATTTTCTAGGAGACGTTTCCCCAGTGTGAAATTCACCCATCAGAAACAGTCCAGAAATGCCCATCCTTACAGTGGCAAGCATATAAAACTC
Source organism: Homo sapiens (assembly GCF_000001405.40). Lineage (NCBI taxonomy): Eukaryota > Metazoa > Chordata > Mammalia > Primates > Hominidae > Homo > Homo sapiens. The sequence continues at coordinate 72,005,033 of NC_000012.12, read as the reverse complement.
TAAGCAAATTGCAATATTTCTAAGAAGACAGCCAAGAGATTTCTAATCACTGTGTGTTCAATCTCATGTCGTGTTTCTTATTGTGATACCATTCATTGTGGTGGCTCCTAATGTACAGTAATACATTTTACATCTACTAAATGTATTCTGGGTTTTTATATCACAGTTCAGAAGAATAGCTTTAGAAATCCTTTTGACTCCTTTATTTGAAAACTACATTTGTGGAATGGGGTAATTAAATCCCTATAGTTTGATATAACATTACCTCTGCTATTCTAGCTCATAAAAAAGTCCCAACCATCTTCTTTCTGCTTTTGCTAGAAATGGAATTACACCACAGATATTTCTGTTAATACAAGTCTAAGATTTTGAGAGCCTACTCCATTGTAGTTAAACCAGAAAACCCTTTCTTTTATACATCTTTATGGAAATTAAAATGACTGCAGAAATCTTCTGTGCTTAATGAATGTATTCTAGCTTACTTTGAGAAGAAAAAGTAAGAAGTCCGCAATATCAGGACTTTTGAATTATGGGAAAAACTAGAGAATTGGGGGACTTAAAATGACTTTAAAATTAGATATCCAATAACACACCTCCTTTGGTGCAGTTAGAATTTTTTAGGTAATGATGAGAAGAAGTATTTCCAGACCTGGGTATGACATAGATAATGTCATATGTACATCATTAAAGTATGCCGTCTCCTTTACTCTTTATTCAACATTGGGCAGTAGAAGAATATCTTCAATTGAAAGATGACATTTGAGACAAAAAGAGGTAATATAATTTGTTTCTTTGTGCCTAAGCTGAGCACAAGTTTAGGAAGTAACAAATCTAACACTCAAACCCAGCTGTGCTAACTTCAAGTTCAGATTCTTTTCACCACATTGCACCACACCACATACTGTACATCAAACATCCCGAATAGCATCTTCATTGAGCTGGGATGAGTGCTGAGAGATCCCAGCTGTTGACTATGGTGCTTCTGCATGGATAAAATGAAGTGTGTGCAAAGCATGGTGGGTTCAGCACTCAACTCAGCACATGAACAGAGAATAAAGAGTTACCAAGGTAGTTCTATCTTTATGAGTTTCCAAATATCTAAAATAGGATTGTGTTGCTTTGTTTCTCATCTGCAATTATATGATGGCTCTCTGAGAGCCCTAGCATACAGTTCTAAATAACAAAGAAAGATTTGAGTTGCAAAAATATATAACTATTCCAGATTGCAAATGTATTTGTTTCTGAACATAGTGGGCAATGCAGAGCTCCTGTTTGTTTTCCAATTCCAGATGACTGTGGTGTTCTCATCATAATATAAATAGATGGCAAACACCTCATAATGGCAACAACAAATATCATAAAGGAAACATGCACATATGAGTAGAACAAAACAGCCTGGGCTACAATATCAAAGTTCTCAGGAGAGAATTAGTCAGCAGAAAGTGTAGCCTCAGAGCACCCAGGTAGAAAAAGGAAGACCAAGATAAGGTAGTGGTGAAAATAGTGAAAAAGGACAGAAGTTAAGGTCTATGTGACTAGTTAAAGAATTTGAGCACTTCTTGCAAGATGCTACTACTCTTCTATATGTACAGCAGACATAAAAGTGAAAGTAATGACTTGGAATAGATATTATTAACTTTTAATTAAGTTACTCTTAAAAATAACACAGAAACTGATCATCCACACAAACATCTCAATTAAGAATGTATAAAAGTGCATTCCCCCCAGCCCTTTGTCAGCTTTGTATAAAATGATCCAAACAGCTGAAATAGTTCAAAGACTCTACATGGAATAAATAAGCCTGAGGCTTATTTCAAGCTTTCTGTAGAGATACTAAAGTGGTCATTTTTAATGTCATCCATGTTCAGAAAGAACTACAGCTGTGCATAAGTCTTTCAGCATCCAAAGATTCCCCATCCCCAGCCAGGTAGGCAAAGACAAGAGGGACCAGGAAACAAGCTAATATCCTCAGCAGGGAGGAAAATATTAATTAGCAATTTATAAACTAAGGTTACCTTTATAATTACACTTCTAACATAAATTATAGTTGATTATTAGTTTAAGACTGACTGTACATTTCATTACAACTCTCAGCATGAGAAAGTACTGGTTATCCTGAAAATTCAAATACACGTGATTCATGACCACCAAAAGCCCCAATCAATGCAAATTCTTTTACTTGGAACAAATAAATTATTTGTTTTAATCAAGGAAAGTACAAACAGAACCCTGTATTATTAATTTCCTGACACTTCTTTCCTGCAAAAAAAAAAAAAGTAAAATAAAATAGGTGATGGTCTGGTCATGTTCACAATGAATTTCGCCCTTTCAAAAAACATTCTAGATTTATATCTCCTAAAATGTGTTTCTTGGAATTCTAAAAGCTTGGCATGCTAATATGCATTTCCTAAAAAGAGACCACTGTGACCGTATAATGTATTTTCTTCCTTTTTGTGTTTTGTTTTGTTTCTAAGATTTGTATTACTTGTCAAGTGCACTCCATAGCAATCAGTATCTAAATGTTTAGCGTTCTAACCTTGCCATTATCAGAGCTCAGATGTAGCCACGGTTCTTCCACCCTTTTCCTGGTCAGATAAAAAACCAATTTCTAATTTACGATTACTACAGTGTATTCTCATTTTCTCTGTCTGTCTCTTGCTGTCTCTTTCTCTTCCCTTTCTGTCTCTCTCTGTCTCTGTCTCTCTCCCCCTCCCTCATCCAGTGACACCTGTGATTCTGCTTATAACTGTAAGCACTGGCCACCCTTTCTTTCTCGCCTGGGAGTATGAACAGCCAGACCCTCTTTGCATGGCATTTATCTTTTTCTAATATTATTTTTGATTGACAAATCATGGTTGTATATATTTATGGGATGCAATGTGATGTTTTGGTATTTGTATGTGACATGCATGATTAAATCAAGTTAATTAACCTGTCCATTTATCTCACTTACCTACCTATTATTTTTATGGTGAGACTTTTGAAAGTTACTCTCTTAGTTATTTTGAAATAGACATTATTATTGACTATAGTCACCCTTCTGTGCAATAGACCTCAAAACCTATTCCTTCTATCTATCTAAAACTTTGTACCCTTTGACCAACAATTCCCAAGTTCACTTTTTTTATACTTTAACATTTCCAAAATGGAGCTTCATCTTACAATATCAAAAATTTAGCTAGCTGAATCTTTTCCCTCTAAAAAAAAAAGCCACTATTAAATTAACAAAATGGTTTACAACCAATGGCACCTTCAAATGGAGGAGATATGGTAAGTTTAGAAAAATAACTTTTTATCACTTTTGGAGATTCACTCCACATATTATGTTTCTAAGAAGTTTGTAATCCCAGCACTTTGGGAGGCCGAGGTGGATGGATCACCTGAGGTTAGGAGTTCGAGACCAGCCTGGCCAACATGGCAAAACTCCATCTCTACTAAAAATACAAAAATTAGCCGGGCACATGCCTGTAATCCCATCTACCCGGGGGGCTGAGGCAGGAGAATCACCTGAACCTGGGAGGCGGAGGTTACAGTGAGCTGAGATCACGCCATTGCACTTTGGCCTGGGCAACGAGAGAGAACTCTGTCTCAAAAAAAAAAAAAAAGAACACAAAGCTGTTTATTTAAGCTAGTGTTGTCCAAATACATTTGCCCATGGGTCCCTCCTTTTACAGAACTCATAATGCCATTTCATAAGGCTAACATTCCAGGAACCGGTTCTGGGAAAGACTCCTTACTCCCTCATTACCCTTAGCCAAGACTCTTCTCTCATCAGCATTACTGAGATCCAGTAACAAATCTTTCAATCAGAAAGTGAAGGTAAACATGATTCAGGGTTGACAGAACAGAATGGATCACCTAAAACTCTTGTGGAGGAAAAATTCCAACTGGGCCAGAGGCCGATTTATTCTGCTTTGGAAACATCTGTGGTGTATTCACACTGATTGCTTCCCCCACAGATGATGCACAGCTTTGTCTGTTTCAAATGCCTTTATGATATGAGAAATGAATAGACTGAATTGAAGCCATCTGCATCATAGGATGGGATGTACTGTTTGACGAAAGATGCCCCTTTACATTTTCTAACATTTGGGGGAAGAGAAATCAATATATTTCAGGGACTATTTCCTAAATTCATCTGATCAGTAAATTTCTGTTTGTGTATTTGTATAAAAATAAATAATGTAAGTCATATGGAAAAACAGCAGACAGAAGAGGATGAGAGCAGAGACACAAAACAGAAGCAATGACATGGCTCTCATAGATGAAAGGTCTGTTTTCAGGGCTTGAATAAGTCATAAATACACTCATCTCATACTGCATGATATTTATCTGGTGATATCCTGTTCATCCAGTTGTTAGAAAAGCAGGCAAAATATGGAAATAAGGATGAAAGATTACTATGTGCCTTTCGAAAGACATACTCTCCTATTGTCTAATGGATCTGCATGTCTAAAATGCCACCCACCATTCCTGCTACTGAAATGTGGTCCTTGAACCTGCAGCAGCAGCATGATGTGAGATCTGTCAGGAATGCCAAGTCTCAGGCCTCACTCTAGACCCACTCCATCAGAATCTGCATTTTAACATGATCCTCAGGTTACTTCGTATACATCACATTTTGAGAAGCACTGATCAAGGGGATATAATCTTTGTCTGACTTCCTATTTATTATTGATTAGGGTCCACAGACTGTAAAGTTCAATGTTAATTTGTGAAGACTGACAAATTGCAAATTATTTTGTCCACAAGACATGCAAATAATTTCTGCCCAGTAGAAAAGATAACCTCAAGGTTATGGTTTTATTGCCCTGTAGAACATTAACCATTTTGCATCTTATTTCAGGATTCTTTCCTTCAGTGACTATATATTCTTGGTCCCTCAAATTCTTCTTTGAACTAGATTTACCATCCTGCTTTTCCCTCCCTCATTAATGGGTTTTAAATAAATCTTTGACACATGTTCAATGCATATGTATGAGAGTCGTGTTTGTAACAGGTTTAAAGTTATGACTCAAAGGCAAGTCACCTCTCAACCACAATAAGATACTTATCTCTACTGAACACTGTAATAGCTGTCTTTTCTTAGGAAAAATATTGTGCTGTCCAGAAAACTGTAATTGAGAATGTACAATGTGATATAAAGAAGAATCTAGCATGGGCTTGTCCCTCAAGGATAGTATAGTCTAAGGTAGAATTTAATTTTAGATATAAGGACAGAGAATTGAGAGCCTTGTAGTTCTGTTTCAGCTTTTTGCAGACATCACTTGCAGCCAAAGAACCTTTTGTTTTCTTTTAGTTTTGGAATTTGAAGCCCTTTAGCATAATATATACATTCTCCAGTTGTCCACATGCTCTGATACTCCTTATTATCTTATATCAGGCTATTTCACACGTGTGCTACCTAGCTGGCCAATGAAGTAACATTTAAGTTTACAACTCCTAACATACACACTAATCTATTAAATTCACTTCCACTAGTGCTACAGTGGTAAATAGCAGGTCTCAAAACTATAACACACTCTAAGCAGTCTTTATTGGGAATATTTTTGCATATCTATCACACACAGACCTCGGACAGCTATGATGAGTATGAAACAGAGTAATGCTGCCACAACCAGTGGTCTTATTTATTATCCACCAGAGGGCAAATTATTTACATGTATAACAATGCATTTGAAATATGTTTTCTAAGCATTGTCATCAATTTCTTCAGATACAAAAGAGTTCATTTAAATGGTTCTCAGGGCATAGAAACCATTGCCCACATTAAATAGCAGAGATAGCTTTATTCTCAAAACTGAGCATTATTAAAATGTCAAAATAAATATTCTATAGAAATATAGCAAGGAGATAGAAGAGCCATAGGCAATATAGTCTAGTACCTCGGAAAATCAGACCAAGAAGTTCAAAAGCTGCTTTGGACAAAGAGTTTGGCGGTGCCGATTAGTCCTAGTGGAGGTGGTTTTCTTCTTTAGATGGATTTGTCGATAGCACATCACAGAAAGTTATTACATGTCTGCTTTCACTAGGCATGACTCTCTTTTTCATAAGTGCTTAAATTCACTAAATAAGGAAAAGCAGGCACTATAGAAAAAGAGTCATTAATAATATAAATCTCACCTAGAGTCAAAGAGTAATATGGCCTGTCTCATTGTTCTGCATAAATAGTGATTTCCATGGCTTTCCATTTGTCCTCTCTATAGATTTTTCTCCTTTGGTGCATCTCATTGCTCATTTTCCTCTACTTCTTCAGAAGACTTAATGTGAACAACTTTGAGGAAATCAGCTAATAATACCTCTATTTCTCATCTGGCCTTGCTAGCTACCATTATCCCCCTGCCATAGACTTTTTATCCCTGCCAGTAAGACCTGAGCTCTTAATATTTTTGTTTCTGCAAGTGGGTCATTAAATTTGCCTTCTAGTTTCAGTATATGGTTTGAGGTTCATTAACATGCATGGTATCCAACAGGTTATTTATTCCAGGGCTTACTTTGAAATTGGCTGGTTGGAATCTGTGGGGTTTTTTTTCAAGACTATCTTCTGGCAATTTTCTATTCACTTTGTTTTTAACTGATGGATGGTATGTGGCTCTTGAAGTCAATAGCAGTTTTAGTATCATTTCAGGAACAATCTCCCTTAGCCTCCTCACACTGTGTGAGGTTATCCTCCTCCATACTCTCCACATCATACAGAAAAATCCTTCCAAATTTCTCTTTGGTCTGCAAAACACTATTCGAAGTAAACGGGCAGCCTATAGAATTGGGAAAATTTGGAACTGGAAGGGTCATGAGAGACAGAAAGTCAGAGTGAGTTGGGGTGGGAGCTCAAGCAATATCAAGAAAAGAGAAATGAGTGAATCAGTCAAAACCATGGTGAGGCAAACACCCACCCCTACTCCATCCCAAATTCTTCACTGCATTTAAAGCATTTATGTTAAGTCCTTTGCAAGTTTACACTTTCTTTTAAACTTTCAAAGTCATCATAAGACTGCAGGTAGGTTGGCCTCCTTGGAAGGACACTTGATCCTTCCTAGCCATGACCTATATAGAGAAGACCATCTCTTCTAGCTCCTGCCCCCTATCCTGAAGCCCAGCCTCCAACACTGAACTCAGAACTCACTCACACATGGTGAATGTTCAGCTAAATCCATTTCTTCTACATAACTACTCATGTATATAAATAAAAAATAATACTGACTCTGGGTTTTTTGTATTTTGGGGTACTAGACTGTGACTTTCTTGAAGAAACTACCACCTCTTTTTTTCCCCCTGTCCCTACCTCATGGTACCTAGGATCCTTTAGCCATTTAAAGAATGCCTGGTAGCTTAAATTGGCTTTTGCAAAAAAGCAGGTACATTTCAGGGAAAGGACAATAAAAGAGAGAGGGAGAGAAAAAGAGATGGTGAAACATGATTAATGGCCTAATGTTCTCTACTAGATGGAAGTGTTTTTAGCTGTTGGAGCTCAAGCAACCCAAGGCCAAGAGTATTGGAATTATCCTAAGGAATGCAAGCTCCTAAAGAAAACTTACTCATCCTACAAATTTGTTGGCCTAGTAAAATAGATTTCAAGGTATGAGTATTCATTTTTCCCAGAAAGTGTAAAAGTAGAAACAAAGAATAATGATCCCATAAAGATTTTGATGGCCTAATCCCCAGAACCTGTGAATATGTTACCTTTGCAGATGTTGATGATGGCCATACATAGTGAGACGGGAAGATTATCATAAATTATCCAGGTGGGCCCAATCTAATCATAGAAGCCGTTAGAAGCACAGGACTTTTCCCAGTCTTGGTCAGTGAGAGAGAGAGATGTGATGACAGAAACAAGATCAAAGAGATGCAGCGTTGCTGGCTTTAAAGAGGAATGAAGAAAGCCATGAGCCAAGGAATGCAGACGGCCTCAAGAAGGTGGAAAAAGCAACAAAACGGCTCATACCCCAGAGCCCCCATAAAGGAACACAGCCCTGCCAAACCAGAGAAATTATTCTGACTAAAACTATTCCTCTATTCCCTCTTTCACTCTTCTCCACTTGACTATCTTTTCTCATCTTTAAAGATTCAGTACAAACTATCCTCTTAAAAAATCTGTTTTGTCGATATAAGCTATAAATTTCCAAAAAGTGAGGAGAACATTGTCACATTCCTTATAAATGTAATTTGAATGATGGAATTAATTAATCATAATTTGATGGACTGAAAAAGGACAATAAAATGGTATTCATGTCACTGTTTTAGAAAAAGGACTAACTGCACTCACAAGGAGGATCCACCTCCATTTACATCCATAAACTCCTGCCTTATTTCTTCTTCTCCTCTATTTAGATGCCCATGTTCACATGCACACATGCACACACACACACACATCAGCTCCACACAGCCTGGCCATTAAGTATCAGTTTATGGCTATTCAAGGTCAGACAAGTGAGCGATATATCTTGCTCCGTGATCAAGGGTATAGGCAGAAGGGAGTCAAAGACTGAAACCAGAAAATTTCAAGGCAAGTTTGAAATGCACAGAAAAGGTTCCAAAACAAGGCATTTAAAACCAGAACCAAGGTTTCAGAACTAAACAACTTATGATATGGTGGTTTTAAAATATATCCACAAATACTTTGACAATCCTTTTTCTAAATGGTGAAAACTAATTCCACTCCAGTTGAGCGTGGGCTGAAATGAGTCCCTTCTAATGAACGGAATATGGCCAATGTGAACAGCATCTGATCAAGCCACAAAAGACATCACAGCTTTCTCCTTGCTCTCACTCTCTGTCATCACTTGTGGAGGAAGCCAGTGGCTATGTCATAAGTAGCTTAAGGAGAGGCCCACACGGTGAGGAACCGAGGCCTCCTGCCAATAGCCACATGAGTGAGCCATTTTGGAAGCCAATTCCCAAACCTTCAGACAATTACAGGCCCAGCCAGCATCTTGACTACAACGTCCTGAGAGTCCCTGAGCCAGAACCACTCAGCTAAGCTGCTTTCAAATTTCCAGCCATAGAAATTATGATATAATAGATGTTTGTTGTTTTAAGCCACTAAGCTTTGAGATAATTTATTATATCGTGATGGATAGCCAATACAAATGAGACACAATCCTTATACCAGAAGTTACAAATTGGAAGCCAAGATCTAGATTCAGTCTACAAATATATTTTCTTCAGCTATAATGGTGGGACTTTTTTTAATAAGCCAACATTTAAAAATCATTAAATTTCATTGAGAAATCTAGATTGCCAGTCTCTCTAAAAAATTTAGGAGATCTCTAGCAACACAAAGTCCTGCATCCCATCTCTGGCAACAAGCAGTAAAAGCTGAGAACCTGCTATACAAGAGACATGCTGTCCTTGTCCACCACAGCCCCCACCAGAGCCTATTCATCTCCATACTGACCCCAGAGGTCCTTGCCATTTAGATGGCTTCTGCATTGCTATTTATCTTTTAGTTGAGAAATATCTCCCAGTTCCTATATTTTTATCAAAAGTAGGAAACAAAAGATGTACTGAAAGATCTGTGTGTTTTTAAGAAATCTAGGAGAAAACTTATTTCTGGGTGGAAATGAAGAATATTCCTGCATATCAAATATGCCACTGTGGTGTACCTGTGCTGAATACATACAATTTAAGATCGCATTTTTCATCCCTTGGTGGTTTTGCTCACTAGGCTAACTGACTGGTCCCTGTAGGTAATGGGTTGGCTAAAACTGCTTTTTCTCTTCCTGGGCCCTTAGAAATGGAGCTAGGGTACAGCATATGAGCATGCTAGATCTGGCCCTTCAGCATCTTAAAGGTAGCAGCCAACATTAAACCTTTTCTCTCATATTGCTTGTTTTCAGAAGAACTTCAGTTTTAGGAAGATACTATAACATCCATTAAATCTTTTCCTGGTTTTGTACTTAGAATAATTGTTGAGCCTCAGTGTCTTATTGCTTGTTGACTCAAATTATGTCTGACTACAACCACCTAGAATAATCAGAGAGAGTTTCAGGTGCAACCCCTACTTTATCATATATGTATACCTTTTACTATTACTAATATTTCTGTGAGAGTCAGCAAACCACAGCACACAGGCTAAATCTGCCCACCACCAGCTTTTATAAATAAAGTTTTATTGGGACACAGTCACACTCATTTATTTACTTATTTGTTGTCTGTGGCTGCTTTCATACCACAGTGGCTAAGCTGAGTAATTCTGACAGAGTCCTTACGACCCACAAACCTAATATGTTTACTATCTAGCCCTTTATCTCTAGCTGACCCCCGAACAAGAATGATAAAATACAAATGTTTTGGTGGTCAATAAGCTGATAACTCATTGTGCTTCAAAAGAATACAACATAGGAAAAGGTAAATTCACCATGTTTTCTCCAGAACATTTACCTATAACTCATAGTCAATAATCCTGAAGCTTTCTTTACCTTACAAATGGACATAAATAGCACTGGTTTTAAGTTGAAAATGAACTCACCGTGGCTAGTTTCTGAACATCTTCATCTGATGCTCCCAGAGACGCCAGACCTATTTCTTGTGAAAACTGAGCAAACTTAGGATCCGCAAGTAGTGGAACATGTCCCAAGAGTTCATGGCATGTGTCTCTGACAAAAAAGACATCACAAAGACGTGTTAAATAAGAAGCTTTAAATTACCACTGGTAGAACAAGACTTAAAAACCTAAATAAGACCTTGTCACTGTAATTAATTAGTTACTACAGTTCATCAATGCTGGGACTTCTTAATCATTTTAATATGTCTGAAATCCCACTGCATCTCATAATCAACAGCACTTAAAACATATGATATACCATGTTTTAATAACATAAAAGCAACTACTATTTTCAAGCTCTTACTATATACCAAGTACATGGTAAGTGTTTTATTGTATGCTTTATATCTTTTATTCTCAAAACAACCTTTAGAGAATTAAAGTAACTTGTTAGCACAGGATCCTGTAGATCAGGGATAGGCAAACAACAGCCATGGTCCAAATCTGGTCCATTGCCTGTTTTTGTAAATAAAGTTTTATTGGAATATAGCCATGCCCATTCATTTGTGTATTATCTGTGGCTGCTTTTGATCACACTGCAGAGTTGAGTAGTTGTGACTGAGATCATAGGGCTAAAATAATTAACTAGCTGGCCCTTTACAGAAAAAAATTGCTGTTTCTTGCTATAGATAGTGAGGAAGACAAAATTGGAATCCAATTTGTCATGTTTTTCAACTCTTGCTGTTAACCCTTAAGGTGCACTGCAACTCTGTTACACTCTGCCAGGCAATGGGTAATGGCAGAGGATTCTATTGTCATCATCATCAAAGTTGCTTTTCCAGTAGATGATTTATGGCTCTAATATAAGCAACTCTCTTGTGATAACACATTAGAAAATCTCCCAGTTCTCTGCTTTGGTTAGCCTGAACTAGGTAATAATAGAAGCCTGGAACCTCTCTCATTTGCCTGAGCTTTCATTTGGAGCCAGGAAAGTGAGCAAAAGACAGGTATCTTTCACGACAATACAAGGCAGATGCCTTCCTGAGTCATTGCCATGAATAATGAACTGTTCCGTGATACCAAGCTGTAATGGATTGAATTCCCCTATGGTTGTCTGGGAATGGATTGAGATGCAGGAACATTTTAAATTATTGACTGAAAAAAACACCAATTACCTAGGTAGTAATTAAAAGATAGTTTTGATTTCACTTGTACTCCTCTGAAATCTATCACTTCAAATAGCTGCTAGAATACAAATACCAGGTGCTACCATTATTACAATTAAAAAGTATGTTGGATGGTCACACAGTTGAAGCAAATGAATGATGGTCAAGGGCCAAGATTGATGCCCACATAAAACAGATAGCATCACTCAATCACTCAATCAAAAAATCTTATTCCCACAACTCAAACCGTATCCCCAATCTTGGCCAGTTACTTCATAGAGAGAAGGTTGAAAGGGCAGCCACTTGAGAATAGTGGACAGGATACTGAAACAAACTCCAAATTCATCCCTTGTCAACTGTGTCAATAACTTCTTTTTTGGTACATGAACTGAACTGAATTTGTTTTTTAAAACAAAAGGCATACGAGGTGGTTATTCTTCAATCACATTGCTTATGGCAAAGAAGCAGATTCACTGGATTTTAGGGTATAGGGGCATTTAAATGTAATCCAAGCCCTTCATTTTACATATGAAGAAATGAAAAATAAAGAAGAGAGAGAGAATATACTGAGCTCCTACTATGTACTAGGTACTGTGCTAAATGTTTTCATGTCACATTGGTAACTGAATCTTTCCTTACGTGTTTTATAAAGGAATAATAAATATAAATAAGAGAAGCTTTATTATTCCAATTTAACAAATGAGGAAGCTAAAATTTAGTAAATCTAAGAATCTTTTCCTAGGCTACCACACTTTTGGCAAAGACAGAGACTTTTTTTTTTTAATCAGGGTCTCCCTTTGTTGCTCGGGCTACAGTGCAGTAGTGCAATCACAGCTCATCGCAGCCTGGACCTCCTGGGCTCAAGCGATCCTCCCACCTCAGCCCCTCAAGTAGTTGGGACTACAGGCGCATGCCACCACACCTGGCTAATTTTTTGTAGAAATGTCAGGGGCGGGGGTGGGGGTGGGGGTGGGGGTTCCTCACAATGTTGCCCAAGCTAGTCTTGAACTTCTGACCTCAAGCGATCCGCCCACCTCGGCCTCCCAAAGTGCTGGGATTACAGGCATGAGCCACTGCACCCAGCCCAGAGACAAGGTTTGAAATCAAATTTTTTGAACTCCAAAGCTACACTCTTTCTGCTCTCTGTTGTTTCAATTTGCAGGTATGGTGTAAGCAAGAAAGGGGCTGGGGCGTACATAGCTTAGGCCGTAGGAAGAGAGTTTAGCCAAGCTAGCTAGCACAAGTAAAAATGTAGTCAGTATTTCCTAAGTCTCTTTTCCTCCAACCCAGTGCTTCTCAACTTTCCAAATCACTTGAGGAGCATTTTAAAAATACCGAATGGCTAAGCCCTGCCTTAGACTAATTCAATCAGGCTCCCTGAGGTAAACCTGAGCATTTTTTTTAAACTCTCACCAGGTGATAATAAGACACAGCCAGGGCTGAGATTCACTGTGATAACTGATGACTCTAGGAGCTCTCCTAGCAAGCTTCAAGCAACTAGTACTTAAAACTACAACTGAATGTGATTATGTAATTTAGAGCTGTTCAAGTTTAATTCCACTAAAATTACACCATGATACTGAAGAATAATTAAAGGTGGTGACTGAGAGGTAGATGGGTAACTAATTCATTCTCCATGTGCATTTGATTCAGTTACAAGTCCAGTAGTTCTAAGCCGGGAGTGGACCCTATGGACTCATTCTTGCGATCAATTTTTTTAAAAGGTCATGCCGCCTGCACCAATATTGGAATTAAGATCAAGTAACCTACCATGGAAAAATCTGAAAACCTCCATTGTGGCTCATGATGTAAATGCTAAAGATCTCCCACTGATCCAGGCAGAAGATGTGGCAACAATAATTTTAAATTAGTCACTATGTCAAACTCCAAGAAAATACTGAAGATGATGAGTATTCTCTCATTGACATAAACAAGGTGAGCGGAAACTAAAGTAACAATTACAGTGAATGCTTACTATGAGCCAGGCACTGTGCTAAATGCTTCATAATGTAAGAAGAGAATAGGGTAGGTCAAAGCTACAGTGGTGGTAGATGCTTGGTGCAGTACAGAATTTACCTTTGAACTTGTTAAATACTTGAAGAAAGCCAATCCAAAAGACAGTCTTCTGTCTACTTAGACACTAATGGAGTCCGAAAGCTTACTGGTAGAACGTAAGGTGAAAAGTTAGCAGTTAGGAAAATACTAGAGATCCAAAGACATTCAGGAGTCAGTTCTCCATGATAGAAAAAGGAGCTATCACCTGAGTGTTAAGACGTCATTATCAGAAACCTGTAACTCACTAGCCAACTTAAGAACCTTTAATACCATTGCAATGACAAAGTAATCTAACTACACATAGAAGAGGATAAAAGAAATTATAAATTTGGAAGAAAAAAATCATACAATACAGCAGAGTAAGTTATATTGTTTCATTAAGAATGAAAGCCTGAAGCGAGTTGTCTAGCAGAATTATTAATGGAACCTCAGAGATACTCTTTGCTCTGTTATAAGTAGAAATGACCATGCTGTATTTTGCTAACTTGTGCCCACTTCTCAGCTCCATTTCCACGCAGAGACCCTGAGAAAGAACTTCCCTTCAGATTCCTGAACAAAGTGTGGACATAGCATGTCATGGGGCCAAGGCTTTAAGCACCTGTATTTCAAGACCAGGAACAAGGTTATTATATTTTATGTCTTTGGTGAAACTTTCTCAGAAATAAACACCATATTGTTCTCTATCCCACTGTGTTTGGCTCAGGTACATGTAGACAAAGGAAATTGAAGTGCCTGGAAACTCTTCAAACAAAGAGCAAAGATTTTTAACATTACTAATAAAAGCAATTCATTAACTTTGAAAAGTTTACATTTTTTTAGATTCTCTGCAGAGGACTTAGAAGCTGAAGTCACCTCCACTCTTTGGGGCAGAGAGGGGTTCCAGGCTATGGGGAGTCTGAGGGAGAATGCAAACTGCAAAGCCTTCTCTCTAACCTCTGTGCCAATTAAGGTCTGTTGGGCTGAAATTATGCTATTAAACTCTATTTTACAAAGTGCAAATGCCACTGCGCTGTGTCCTGCATGTAAAGTAGTTTGAGATCCCTACTTTGGTTGTATCATCCACAGCCGAACCCCTGAGTATCTAATTATGAACAGGTTCCCGATGTGAGTTCACAACTATTGCCTTATCTCACCAGATCTCTCCAAAAAGATTCAATTATTTGGCCATAATTGCACCTGTCAGTACATGCTGCCTCCAATCTCTACATCAGCAAACTTTTTTCTTTTTAACTCCCATCCCTTTGATACATTTTTGCCTGAATAATGCTTTTTAGAGTCCTTTTCACAAATGTGCTCTGTTCACTGGAAATACAAGACCTTTCAAAGCTGTTAACACTGTAAAACATCATGTCTCCTTTTTATTTAAAAAAAAAAAAAAAACCAAGAGCTGATATCAGACACTAAACTTTTGCTGCTCTAAATTGGAATCTTCTCTGATAAGCCCTGCTAGGGGGATTCTAAAGCCTGCAGAAACAGGTCCACAAAGGAGCCTCGGTGAAATGTCTCTGGGAAATTCTTAACTCAGTCCAAGAAAGTAGCCATCATTTTGCTATGAAGAAATAAGGGTTCTGGTTGTTAAGTTCAAATTCAAAATGAGTCTGGCATTTTTCTCCTCTTATCAGTTTTCAAAGCTGACTCTTCACACTACGCGTTGAACAACTCCTTTTTATTTTTGTTGTAAATTAAAGCCTTTACGAGGAATTGACTGAGCATCCAACATTTGCTTCCCATCCAAAATCTGCACATCTGTCTTTTAAAACATATTTCTTTAGGTTTTGTTTGCTCTAAATGACACAGAAGCCAACACTTTAGCTAAATCACGAAGAGAAGGAAAGGGAGATGAGTGGCAGAGGTGAAGACTTTGCATTAATAAAAGGAAGCAGGAGGATGAGCTGGGAGCCAAAATAGGGTGCGTTTTTCAGCTTTCACACAACAGTTGATGGGTAAATGCAAGTAATGTGGGATAACACACTGGGATGCGTTGCAGACAGGTGACTTAGTTTGCTTTCACTGCATAAGATGATAAGGGGAATTAACTTGGTAGTGAGGCAACTTTTTCTCAGGGCTTGTTTTGGAGCCATATACAGAGTTTCTTTAGTTTAGATTTAAAATAGCATACTGTAAAATCTGACCCAGATAAGATTTTAGGCAATTCTTATGATCACTCCTTCTTATATCCCTATCACAGTATAGCTACAAAAAGTCACCTTTTTTTTTTTTTTTTTTTTTAATAAAGCCAGGAACCTGGATGTTGCATTGGGGAAAATCTTCTTTGCTTTTTCCCCTTAGGAATCATAAGGATGTGCACTGATGTTTCTCTTCTTTACTACAATTCTTTTAAGACTGGCAGATATTATAGTTGTCTTTCTTAAAATTTAGTTCATTGTGTGCCTATTTGTACCAGGTGCTATATTAGGAAATGTGGCTTAAAAGTAAATAAGGCATAATCTTAGAATAACTCCTAGCAAAAGTCACCATCTGGTTCCAGAAAAAGGCAATCAAATAGCAAGTACAAACTTTCCTGATGCATAAAAAGAAACAATTTCCAGTTCTTAGAGGGACCACAGAAAGAGTGCAATGGAAATTCTGTTGGTATATCACTAGCTCCCTACTGATATAGCTTAGATATTTGTACCCAGCCAAAATCTCACGTTAAAATGTAAACCCCAATGTTGAAGGTGGGGCCTGGTGGGAGGTGACTGGATCACGGGGGTGGATTTCTCTTTAATGATTTAGCACCATCCTCTTGGTGCTGTCCTCGGGATAGTGAGTGAGTTCTCCCGAGATCTGGTCGTTTAAAAGTGTGTGGCCCACACCCTCCAACTCTCTCTCTCATTCCTCCCTTCGCCATGTGAAGTGTTCTCTTTTTGTCTTCCATCATGATTGGAAGCTTCCTGAGGTCCCCCAGAAACAGATGCCACTATGCTTCCTGTGCAGCCTGCAGAACCGCGAGCCAATTAAACCCCTTTTCTTTACAAATTTCCCAGTCTCGGGTATTTTTTATAGCAATGCAAGTATGACCTAATACACCCACCATTTCTGAAGTGTTTCTTATTTCTTGAAGAAATAAGAGACATTTAACTTTCTCTCCACCTCTCCAAGTTCAGTGTAATTAAGAAAGCAATATAACACAACAGTCCAAAGCATATACCCTACAGTCAGACCTAAGTTCATCTCTCATATTCTTGTGTAGGCAAATTACTTAGAGCAGCACTGTGCAATCGGACTGTCTGCAATGATAAAAATGTTCTGTATCTGCACCATGCAATATAATAGCCACTTGACACAGGTGTCTACTGAACACTTGAAATGTGGCTAGTGCTACTGAAGAACCAAATGTGTACTTTTATTTAATTTTAATTAATAAATGTAGATAACCACATCTCACCATATTGGACAGCACAGACATAGTGTTTTCTCATCTATAAAGTGGAGATTGTAAGATTTCTTCTCTCTTATATTATTTTTTCTTTTATTGAGATGGAGTTTCACTCTTATCACCCAGGCTGGAGTGCAGTAGCCTGATCTCGGCTCACTGCAAGCTCCGCCTCCCGGGTTCAAGCGATTCTCCTGCCTCAGCCCGCCGAGTAGCTGGGATTACAGGCACCCGCCACCACCCCTGGCTAATTTTTTTGTATTTTTAGTAGAGACGGGTTTTTATCATGTTGGGCCAGGCTGGTCTCAAACTCGTGACCTCAGGTGATCTGCCCGTCTCAGCCTCCCAAAGTGCTAGGATTACAGGCGTGAGCCACCGCACCCAGCCATCTCTTACATTATTAAACAATGTAGTAAGAGAATGCATTGAAAATCTTAGTTCCCGTAAGTTAGGTATTATTACTTATTATATTAAATTGTATTTATACCTAAGCCTATCATACTTGAATAAGTTTTGCCCTTTGAGAAGGTACTTTATCACTTAAAAAGGAGTAAGTTTCTTCAGGACAGAGATTAGGCCATGTTCGTATTTCGGTCTGCAGTGCTTAAAAAAGCCTGGCACATAAGATATGCTCAATAACTGCTTTTTTAACTCAACTGAATAGAGCAGGTGATGATGGGGCTCTGTTGTTCCAAATAGAAGTGAATCCAAGTGAAACTCAAGTATGGTTTTCCTAATTTCCAGTGTCACATAAAGGCTTTGGACCAGAACTTGGTTTTGCTATTTTCTAGTTGTGTAACCTTAGGGAAATTACCTGACTTCTTTGAACCTTGGAATTGCCATCTGTAAAATGGTGACAATCCTGTCCACCTAATAGAGATGAGTGGGATGATGCCAGACAAACAGAACGTGTGTGGGAAATGTCTGCTCCCTCTTTCCTTCTCTCTTGTGGTGGCTTCTGTGCCCACCCACAGACACAATTCTCTACACGGTAGTAAAGAGGTATGAACAGTGATTACCTCTTTCTTGCATAAAATTCAATCATTTTGGATTTCTTCTTCTGAACTTGCAATTTAAAAATGCAAATACTCCTGGAAAAATTTCTCCCTGGTCATCTCAGTCTTCCACACCTGAAAATACATAATGAACCTCTCCCTGACTACAGAGTGCTGAAGGAATATAAATTTTGATTTGGGCCAGGTGCTTCTAAGTGCTAATTTTGGATTATGGGCTCCGCACAAGGAAAACAGAACTGGGTGCAGGGGTAGGGGAGAGTGACATAAGGAATCCTGCTTTGAATCTGCTAAAAAAAAAAAAAAAAAAGAAGGGTGGCTGAAGTATTGAAGCTTTATCCCAAGTCACTACAGAAAACAGTCTAAAAGAACAAAAACAGGGCTCCAGCAGACAGTTAGACACAATTTTGGTTTCTAACTGCACATTTTAAATAATGTATATGATTTTTTAAAAATGGAATGTATATTGTTAGAATGCTTAAGCTCTTTAGACAAAAGGCTCTATAAGAAATCTCAGGGGTTATTTTTGCTTTAGGCACTTCACAAAACTAGACACAATATTATGATTGAAAACTTGGGAGTCCAGGTCTAGGAACGTGGCCTTGTAACTAAGGACGCACTGGAATTTTATGAGGCACATTATCCCTCCACATGAATTTAAGAGGTGCCGAGTAAGGGTGGACTTATTTGGTATTTTTCTAAAGCTTTTTTCTCTCCAAAGATCAAAGTGTTATTTCATCATCTCTCACACAGGGAGGTTAAATGGCTTGCCGACAGTCATACTGGGAGCTGAGAGAGGGGCCTACATTTCTGGGCAATCAGTCCTTAGGTCCTTCTGCCTGAGGACACAGCAGTCTCCTACCTGCATTACTGCCCTTTGAGAAGGTACTTTGTCACTTAAGAAGGAGTAAGTTTCTCCAGGACAGAGGTTAGGCCATGTTCATATTTGGGTCTGCAGTGCTTAGAAAAGCCTAGCATATAAGCTATGCTCAATACTGTAGAGAGGTGCTGTCCCCTTCTTTCTCCCAGTGAGATAGCAGATGCCTCCTCCTCTTGATAAATGGGGCAGACCAACTGTGACCTTGTGAAGATCAAAGGGGAGGGCAGGCCTCTAAGGAGCCTGGAAGTTGGGCCGAGAACTGGATGGGGCAGCACAGCACTAAACTATATAATAGCCATAAACAGTCTTTAGGGTTCTAGCAAATCAGGGTCACCAAATAAAAGTAAGGAAGTATCCCTTTCAAGGCCAGGTACAGTGGCTCACACCTGTAATCCCAGCACTTTGGGAGGCCGAGGTGGCTGGATCACGAGGTCAGGAGTTCGAGACCAGCCTGACCAACATGATAAAACCTTGTCTATACTAAAAATACAAAAATTAGCCAGACATAGTGGCGGGCCCCTGTAATCCCAGCTACTCAGGAGGCTGAGGCAGGAGAATCGCTTGAACCCAGGAGGCGGAGGTTACAGTGAGCTGACATCGCACCACTGCCCTCCAGCCCGGGCAACAGAGTGGGACTCCGTCTCAAAAAATAAAAAAAGAAAGTAGCCTTTTCAAATCCCTTCTACAAAATATGCCATTGGAAAACAACAACAACAACAACAACAAAAATGCTATTCAGCTTCAGCATACAAATAAGTTTTGAGTATTTTTGTTTAGTGTTACTGATTAACAAAGTAGTGGCTAAGGCCACAGGTGCTGGCATTACTCCTGAAGTTCAAACCCTGACTCACGTACTTACCAGCTGTGTTACCTTGGGCAATGTACTTAACCTTTCTGTGTCTTATTTCCTCATCTATTAACTCAGAATAATAATATAACAACTCAAAGTGTTGTAGTATTAGGTGAGTCCATCCATACATTACACTTAAAATAGTGTCTGGTGCTATTAACAGTAAACCTGTGTCCAGTTGATATATAGTAGACATGTTTGCTATTCATAATAAACGTATTGTTGCTACTGCTGTTGTGGTTGCTGTCAAGATTATCTATGCTGAAGGATGGAAGGAATTAAAGTATTTTCAGGTCTTGGGGCCTCTAACATCTTAACTGGCCCTCGGTATAGCCCAAACCGGACTTCTCCTAAGGGAGAGCATGGCTACCAAACTGAGGGTATGTGCACCAGTTACAAAGCAGGAAAGGTAGGCCAGATGACCGGCTTTCTGGGAACATGCCATTTTCCAAGAATCACCAGTAATAATGCTGCACTGCAATCCTGAGCAGCAAGAATGGTAATAGTGCTATGGAGGAAGCCAGGTGGATGAGCAGGAGGCTTGGCACCAAGCTCACATGTCCCATGGGAAAGAACAAGTTTAAGCTAAACACAGCTCGTGGGCATGCAGGTTAAACTCCGTAAAGCTCTGGTTTATCCTCCCAGCTCTGCAGGAAGACCATGCTGAGAAGACTTCAGCAAGGCCTGATATTAAAAACACCAACAACAGCCAGGGCCCAAGTCCCAGAACCTCTCGAGTGGGAACAAGGAGGAAAAGTTGGGAAAGAAAAAATTCATATTTTTCCTCTCATTATGGACCTAGTGAGAGACATCTGTTCAATCAAGAGAGGAGCAACCAAGCTTTCCTAATAAGCAAAAAATTCATTTACTTTACTTAGAAACGGATGAAAAATGTGTCAGAAATAATTCACTTTTATTTTTCTTATAAAATTAAACAGCGGCAATTATAAGAAAAATCACCTGACTGCAAAGCCTTTAAACAGTTATATTTAAAAATAACATTAATTGCCACTAAACTGGTCAACTGCAACAAAAAAGATGTTCCTTAATACAAATGTATTTCATTGTATTATGGCAATATAAGTTGCAATATTAGTCACTTGTGCCCTGAATTATTCCTCAATGCTGAAAGTTTGCTCTTTGATTTGAAAAGTGATGCCGGCAGAAAAGAAGAGATGTGTGGAATGGGAACAACACAGCAAAGGGTGCTGCTTTGGCATTAGAAATAGAACACCACACCCATATGGCCCAAGCTAGCCGCCAGTGATAAGAACTGTGAGTTATCGTTCCTACCTTGCAGACTGGGCTCTCACTTTGCCTTTTAAACAGACCACTGAGACATCTCACCATGAACCTTAAGGGGCCCACACACTGCTAGTTGCCAGGGTTTGTGCTATCTCTCTCTTTCTCTCTCTCTCTCTGTCTCTCTCTCTCTGTGTGTGTCTGTCTGTCTGTCTCTCTCTCTCTCTCTTTCTCTCTCTGCCTGACTCTCCATTCCTGATCCACAGGACCCAGGGTTGAAGGAGGACTGCTTTCCTGATACACTGCACCCTCTCTGCCTAGGATCTGCAAGTAACCCTGTTCTAAAAGATGAGGTGGACGGAGGGCATAGCATGAGAGAGCACACAATGGACTTCCCAGAGAGACAAAAAGGAGATCAGGGAGATTTAGAACTTCTCAAGATTTTGTTCTGCCACTGTACACATGCCAGGCGACGCTCACATGCCTACATAACTTGGAACTCTGCATCTTTCCCTCTCATTCCAGTGAGTGAGAGGGAAGGTTTATTGGAATAACTTTGAATTTGGCCCAATTGATTTTTTTTAAAGGAAATCATTTGCAAACTTCATTACCCAATTAGTAAGAACATTGCAACCACAGCTGATCAAAGCATGGAGCCAGGCAATACCGAAATGCAGATTCATTGCCTCAGGCACTGCTCAAAGGGAGAAAAAGCAAGAGTCCATTTCCTCTTCTAGCAGATCAGTGACCTTTCAATCCAGGCATTAATGCATAGAAAAGCAACTCCTCCCACCAGGAAAACCAGAAGTCACTAATTTGCCAGGGGTTCTTTATTGTCTTCCAGGCCAGAAAACTTTCCCCCAGGAAACCAGTCTAATCTGCCATCACTTTTTTTTTTTTATTTTTATAGATTCAGGGAGTCCATGTGCAGATTTGTTACAGGAATATATTGTGTGAAGGCAAGGTTTGGTTTCTAGTGTATCAGGTTTAGAGAAGCCAGAGTCTTTAAAACTGTAAAATGTAAAAAGAAGTCAAAGATATGTTTAAAATCCAATGTGTGTTGAAAGCTCTGATGGCAAAATACATTCTACCAGACTGAAAGGGAAAATAAAATTCTTTTTTCAGATAATGTATTTTTTGTTGCTTCATGCTCATTTCTACCTGGGTCTTCAGTGCTCACCTTTGTCTCATTAGCGCAGCCTCCACTACAACAGTTCAGCAACTGAAAGCAGTTATTTGGAAACACAGTACAAGCAGCAAACACAGTAGAGAAGTTGAACTTCATAAATTGGAGAATCTGCCCTCTAGTTGGTTTTCAATTGAGGAAATGGGATTTCATTACAAAGACAACGCCTGTGAAAGTGCTTGGGCAGGAAACAGCCCTCCCAGTATAGTACCCATAGATTCAAATTATGTGGCTGAGAAGGGACTTAGGACTTTGCAATATACAAGGATTAAAAAGATCTTTACAGAGAATTTTGTCTGCATAGTATATTTCTGGAAGGATGAAATGGAAACTAGTAGCAGTGGTTGCCTCTGGAGAGGATGCACTGGGTATCAAGGGGGCAGAGGATGGAAAGAAACTCACTGTTCACAGTATATACCTTTTAGTGAACTTTAAATTCTGAATTATGCATATGTATTACCTATTCATAAAGTAATAATTTTAAAAACCAAATGAATGGCCTGTAATCCCAGCACTTTAGGAGGTCGAGGCAGATGGATCACCTGAGGTCAGGAGTTCAAGACCAGCCTGGCCAATATAGCAAAACCCCGTCTCTACTAAAAACACAAAAAATTAGCTGGGTATGGTGTTGCACGCCTGTAACCCCAGCTACTGAGGAGGCTGAGGCAGGAGAATTGCTTGAATCCAGGAGGCAGAGGTTGCCGTGAGCTGAGATTGCACCACTACACCTGACAGAGTGAGACTCTGTCTAAAAAAAAAAAAAAAAATACGAATGATATGAAACCCACAAAAAATAAAGGGCTTGTAAAAACAACCCCAAGTGAGTGAATCCCAAGTTTCCATCCTCTGACTTAGTCTCCTCTTATCTGTGTAGTCATAGGAGACTTGGAAGAAAAATAACTACTCAAATCTATTGTGGGTGCTTTACATTCACTTCTGAGTTTATAATCTTTATTTGTAACTACCAGAAACTTCTCCATCTGGAGGTTCCAGCCATGGGCACCTCACAGACAAAATACCCCAAACCCAAATCCTCCTCTTCCCTCCCTCTTTCCTTTTCTCTTCCCTCCAAGCTTGATCCTCCTCCAATATTCTCAGTCATTATTAGAAATGACTTTCCACTCAGCTTCCCAAACAAAAACCTTAGCCCTACCTTAGGGGCCCTCCCCTCGTCTCACCCCTATTGTAGTCACTGGATATTGTTACTTCCATCTCTATGGTGTTAAGAGGGCATTAAATAGGTGCCCTCTTGTACTATACCTCTGACCTCATCTAGCTCCACACCTTTTGAACTATATTCCTTCATAGAATGTGAGCTCCCTAGCTGGTTTTCTGTGTTGTTCATTCTCAACAATTCCCCAGCCCTCACCCCCAGTCATTTTTCTCCAATACACTTACCTGACTATGCCTAAGAACCTTGGATAGCTCCCTGTTGCCTACAGAACTAAGTCCAAATGTCCTAGTTTGACAAATGGTCATTTATAACATGGCCTGAAGATACATTTCACCCCTAATACATAAACTGTATCCTGGCTATTCTGGTCTAACAAGCCTTGCACATGTATGCCTCTTGCGTGTCTCCACAACTTTGCACTTGCTGTTTCCCCTGACTTGCAAAGCCTCCCCTTCCCTCCCCGTCCAGCCTTGTACAAAAATGAAATTTCTGCTCATCCTTCCAGACTCCCACACAGGTTATACGTTCTCTGAAAAGCCTTTCAGGACTGTGCCTTCCTCTGTGCTCTCCAGCACTTTTTACACACACTAATTATAACCCTAACCACACTATTTCCTAATTATTTGTTTTTCTATCTCTGCTGCCAGAATGTGAACTGCTTTAAAAAAAATTTTTTTTAAAGCTACTATATTTTATTTATCTCTGAATCCACTGCACTGCCCTGCTAGCATTGCACATAAATGTTTGCTGAGTGAATTGGCCGAAAGTACTTTGGTAAAAATGTAACACATTATCCTCTGTGGCTAAAATCTCATTTCTTTGCCTCTCTCTCTCTCTCTGCATACCTATTGGCACGCTGTCACAGGTCTCAGGAGGGCCAGTTATTCAAAGGGAACTAACAAAGTGCCTTCTATTTGTAAACAAGGCCATTGGTAAACCCTCTGGGCTAGATTTAGAGATTGCCTTTCTAACTCTGACAGTGCTTCTTTGAGCACTCACTCCACTGAAAGAAGCATTTCTTTTCCAAATGTCTGGGGTCCTATAAGTAACCTCTGTTTACCCTGAAAACACTTTCAGGGAAGCTGAAAAAAGCTTAAAAAAAAAAATGTAGTGACCTGACAGGGACCTACCTGGACTGTGAGCCTTATGCCAGCCTAGGAAAATGAGGGGTGCTTCAGGGACTTGACTTACCCTTGCTCACTCCTACTACCATCAGCTACTTAACTGCTTGAACCTCAAAAGCTTCTCTGCTCCCCAGCGAAGACCATGGCAACCCATTAACCACAAGTGCATTCAAGTAAAGCAGCATCATAAGCAAAGCGATACCCTGAGTGGCCTGAAGAACAGTGGGGTAAGATTAAAGCAAGGCACTCATTTTAATGGAGCCCAGGAAGGCAAAAGAACCCAGAGCTCCCAGCCTCAGGGTCTTTGTTTTTGCTGTTCTTTCAGCCTGAAATTCTCCACCCCATCATATACACATTCAAGTCTTTGCTCAGATGTTTACCAAGAAGCTGTCCTGACCCAATCCAAAAAACAGCACCCAGGACTCTCCATCTCCTTGCCATGCTCTATTTGTCTTCACAGCACTTATTAGCACTTCATGGAAGCACTTACACCTGACACCATATTCCCTGTCTGTCTGTCTGTCTGTCTGTATGCTAACCATTGTCTTCACCATTCACCTGGAAGGGCAGGAATGCTGTCTCATTCCCAGACAATCCAAGCATGTAGTTGTCTCCCAGTAAATGCTTGTTACATATTTTAAAGCACTCAAAGAAATATGATACAGGGCATTTCACACTTGGAGACTGTACAATCCCACGTGTGATTAGGCCAAATGATTAACATGTGGGTGTTCCCAGCTTACTCCTGCTTCTTACCCATGTCAGAGCAGTATAGCATCACCTCTTAGCTTCTCTCCCCACTCCTAGCTTACCCATTGTCCAGGAGAGAATGGATAAAAGCCCCAAAGGAAAACTGACAGAATCAGAGAAGAATCACAAACCTCATCTATATCTGGAGGTGGCGGGCAGGACTAGAGAAGTGTTCAAGAAACTAAAATGGCAGGGAGAGCAAAGCACAGAGTTCTGAGTTTGGAGGTGACGAAAGAGATGAGAGGGGATTAGTAATGAGTTGCTATGGTGTGTGTACATGAACCTCCTTCACATGAAAGAGGCCTCCTAATGAGAGAGCCTCACATGTTCTGACCATGTGTCAGTGTCTACTTTACACTTCTGTGCCTTCTCTTCATCATCAGAAATGGAGATCTGGCCAAGCAGATGGCTCAGTGTTGGGATAAAGCTAGAGCATCGAGCCAGAGCTGGAATATCAGGGGCCCCCACGGACCCAGATGAGGAGTCTGATCCTTCAGTGAGCCCTTTTCTCTTTAGGTGAGTGATGTGACTCTCACTAGCTCAAGGAAATTAGTTTGGAGGTAAAACAGGGCCTAAGTCATTTTCAAGTAAAGGGATCATTGACCACTTTATGGTGTGGTGGCCTGGGCTTTAATGTAGGTACTCACGGTTCTGGGGTGTAGAGGGGATCTGAGCCATGCCGGATGTACTGGGTACAGTGGAACACTCTGTAGGCCAGTCCTGCCAGAAAGTCTCGTGGGCTCAGGTATCCAGCCACCGGCCTCACCGTGAAGCCAGACCTTTCTAAAAAGGCAACAGAAAAAGCCAACTAAATATTAACCCAGCAAGACTTGAGGGCCCAAGCAGGAGCTTCTACTATTTATAAGGAAGATCCAGAAACAAAGTAATCAAGGTCATAAACCTCTTGACAACTGAGTGACATATACTGTTAACAGCTATCATGTTTGGTGCTTCTGATGACTAAAATCACTCTCAAATGACGGTTTCCAGGAGAACAAAACATTCAAGAAAATGAAAAGAAGGGTGAAAAAAGTATTTAGAGATTTAAATTCAGAAGCCCAATTAGGATAAGAAATCTCAGATAAATTGATTACAATCGAAAGTGATGCTTACCGCACATTACCTGGTATCTTTCTAAGAGACATACCTAGGGATCTCTTCTGTGTGCATGTGTTCAGTGACACACAGCTAAGCACCCCCTTCACTAGCATCTTCAAATCAGTTCATACTGAGGCTTTCTATTGCCAATACCCGCTAACTCCTTCACTCTATATTGTTTTCTGTGATGTTATATAAATTATCATGATTTGAAGAGGTACACCAAAGCCCTGCTTGCTCTATTGGCTTATGGTAAGAGGAAACAAAGTAAGAATGCAATAAAGTCTATAAACCTGCCCTATACCACTAATTCAATTAGGTTGTGAGTCATCAGTGTTCTCAGTCTAAGGGCTACTTAATGTTTTCTTCTCAGGAAGGCCCAGAAAACTTAGAGCAGAAGGACTATTCTTTTTTTTTTTTTAAATATGCATTTTATTAAAATGTTGTATAGAGTCGTGCATTGCTTAACAATGGGGATACATTCTAGGAAATGCATTGTTAGGTGATTTTGTTGTGTAAATCTCATAGAGTGTACTCACACAAACCTAGATGGTACAGCCTACTCCTAGGCTACAAATCTGTACAACACATTACTATACTGAATACTGTAGGCAATTGTAACACATTAGTAAGTATTTGTGTCTCTAAACATATCTAACCATAGAAAAGGTACAGTGAAAATACAGTATTATAATCTGATAAGATCACCACTATGCATGAGGTCCATTGTTGACCGAACAGTATATATGTAGCACATGACTATTTTTAAATGGCTGCTTTATGTTCTGTTCTTTTCTCACAAGAGCAGTTCTGTTTTTTAATATAAATTGTATATATTTAAGGTGTATAACTTTATGTTTTGATACACACATACAATGAGTCCTCAACATCGTCGATAGGTTCTTGAAAATTGCGACTTTAAGTGAATGACATAAAGCAGTGCCCAGAATAACATCATTTCCTTCAACATTGTATTGTCATAATGTTGATGAGGGGAAAAATTGGTTTTGTTATACATCGTTTCACTTTAAGCCACAGGTTTCAAGAACCTATCGATGACGT
Organism: Homo sapiens; assembly: GCF_000001405.40. Lineage (NCBI taxonomy): Eukaryota > Metazoa > Chordata > Mammalia > Primates > Hominidae > Homo > Homo sapiens. Next base: position 71,977,574 of record NC_000012.12, on the reverse strand, counting down.
TAAGTGAGGATTTACTGTAATAGTGAAATGATTACTACATTCAAGTTCATTAATATATCTTTCTTCTCATATAGTTATATGTGCACATGCGTGTGCGTGTGTCTGTGTGTGTGTGTGTGTGTGTGTAGTAAGAGCACATAAAATTTAGTAACAAATTTCCCTTATGTAATATGATATTATTAACTACAGTCCTCATGCAGTTCATTAAATCTCTAGATTACCAGGCACTGTGGCTCACACCTGTAATACCAGTACTTTAGGAGGCCAAGGTGGGTGGATGGTTTGAAGCCAGGACTTCGAGACCAACCTGGGCAACATGGCAAAACTTTTTATCTACTAAAAATAAAAAAATGAGCTGGCATAGACAGCACGCACCTGTAGTCCCAGCTACTCGGGGAATACAGGTGAGGCACAAGAATCGCTTGAGCCTAGGAGGTGGAGGTTGCAGTGAGCCGAGCTTACGCCACTGCACCCCAGCTTGGGCAACAGAGCAAGACTCTTATCTAAAAAATAATAATTATAAAAAAAGACCTCTAGACTTATTCATCCTATCTAACTGCAACTTTGTACTCTTTGACCAATATCTCCCCACTTACTCCACCTCCTGCCCCTTGTAACCACTGTTCTATTCTTCGCTTCTGTGTATTTAACTTTTCCAAATTCCACATATGAGATAATGCAGTATTTTTCTTTCTGTGTCTGGCTTATTTCATTTAGCATAACGTCCTGGAAGGCTATTCCTTTAACGCATTAGGAGAGTACCACACAATGGTTGAAAATGATCTTAAGAGGCAAGAACCAACTAAGCTTATAAAACAGGCCCATCCTGGGATTTCTGGTACCTGCTGGAAATAACCTGTTCTCAGGCCTCCTCAGACCCATAATTCGCACAGCACTATGTTCATTCCAAAAGCCTTCACTTTGGATTATTCCCCGGTGAATATCAAAAAGATAAGTGTATTTTCTTCTTTTTCCATATTACATCAATTAAGCCAGTATATCCCACATGTGGGACATATGTAACAGTACACAGAGGAACATTTTTTTTAATAGTTATGTATTTTATTTTTATGTGAATTAGAAAAAATATAAAACCATGACATCAAGAACTTTGAATCTGTAGATACCATTGCTTTAAAAGTTTCTGTTTTAAATAAATTAGGTATTTTAAAAGTGAGTCAATGAAATGATATAAGGACACCTATACTTACATCATACTATCTACATGCCAGTGCGTGATACAAACTAGGCGATATATCCAGTTCACCAAGGGTTGTGGAAAACAATAACAAAGGAAATAGCTAAGACTCTGCTATGCTTAATGTGTGTTAGGCACATTAGGCCTTTAAGGTATATCAATTAATTTCTCCTCTCAACCACCTTGTGAGGTAGATAAAATTACTATCTCCATTGACAGAGGAGGAAACAGAGACACAGAAAGGTTAAGGTGACTCTTCTAAGGTCACATAGCTAGGAAGGGGCAGAGTGGGGACTCAAGCCCTGACATTCTACATCCAGGGTCTATGGTCCAAGCCACTATACCATACTGCCTCTCATAAGAATATTAATTTGGGGGGCAAATACAACAGTATTTATGAGGTGATATTCTAACTATTGGGGTTTGGGGAACAATGCAGTAAAAAGCCATCTCGATATAAGGAGCTCTTGGTAAAGAGGTAATATGCATATAGCTCTGTGGGACACAAAGAAGAAGATGACAGGAGAATACAGTCTAGTTAACAACATAAGGCATGAGGTAATTAGGTGCTAATTAAGTGATACTGATCGGTAGTTCTCAATCTCTTTTCCTCAGTAACAAATATAGTAGATGATGTTCACACATAACATAGAATGAAATCAGAGTGGGAGAGATCATGGTGGCTTCTATAATCAAGATTCATGAAGGAGGCAGGACTTGCTCTGAGTCCTGAAGAATAGGTAGAATTTGAGTAGGTGGAGAAGAGATGAAATTTTCTAGTAAGGAACAGAGTTTAAGCAACGGTAAAGAGAGCCCACAGCAAGGGCAGAGGATTTGTACAGGGCAGTTGCAGCAGGAAACTAACTTGGAAACCTGGGTCAGGGCCTCACATTGAGGCTGAGCTGTTCAGACTTGAGCGTGTAAAACAGAGATCAGCAAACTATCACCTGGAGGCCAAATCCAGCCCACTGCCTGTTTTTGTACACCCCAACAGTGAGAATAGTTTTGTTTGTTTGTTCATTTGTTTGTTTTGAGACAGAGTCCCACTCTGTCACCCAGGCTGGAGTGCAGTGGCGTGATCTCAGCTCACTACATCTTCTGCCTCCCAAGTTCAAGTGATTCTCATGCCTCAGCCCCACAAGTAGCTAGGACTGCAGGCGCCCACCACCACGCCCAGCCAATTTTTGTATTTTCAGTAGACAGGGTTTCACCATGTTGGCCAGGCTGGTCTCGAACTCCTGACCTCAAGTGATCCGCCTGCCTTGGCCTCCCCATGTGCTGAGGTGTGAGCCACTGTGCCTAGCCAGTTTTTATATTTTTAATAGACACATTAAAATGGCTATAAAAGTACCTATATAATAGCCTTGATTTTGCCTCTTGGCCCGAAAAGCCTAAAATATTTACCAACTGGCCTTTTACAAAAAAAATTTGCCAGTCCCAGTGAAAACAAGAGGGAGCCAATGATAGTTTCTGAGCAGAGATGTCAGAAAAAAAAGTAATATTTTAGAAAGTAACATCTATGGGCAGTGGGCAGGAGAGTTAAGGGAAGAAAATATAGGCATCAAGGTTATAAAATGATGAGGACATCAATTTGGATGATAGCAGTAGAACAGAAAGGAAAAGGACAGATTTACCACATGTCATGAAGCCATAAGTGGCAATAGGGGGAGATTGTGGTAGGCTAAGTAATGGCCCCCCAAGGATGCCTATGTCTTAATCTCCTGAATCTGTGAGTATGTGACCTTACATGGCAAAAGAGACTTTGCAGATGTTATTAACTTAAGGATCTTGAGATGGAGAGACTGTCCTAGATAATTCGGGTGGGGCCAATATAATCATAAGAGTCCTTATCAGAGGGAGGCAGAAGGGTCAGAGTCAGAGAAGGAGATGTGACAATGGAAGCAAGAGGTTGGAGTGATGCAAAGAAGAGTCCACGAGCCAAGGAATGCAGGAGGACTCTAGAAGCTGGGAAAGGCCAGGGCACAGAAGCCACCAGAAGGAATGAGCCCTGTCAACACCCTGATTTTAGACTTCTTAGCTCCAGAGCTGTGAGATAACTCGTGTTGTTTTAAGTCACAAAGTTTGTGGTAATGTGTTGTTACAGCTATAATTGGACACTAACACAAAGAAGGACTGAGTATGGGATTGGGGGATAAAGTGGGTAGGAATTCAGGGGAGTCCTTAGAGGCAAGCCTGATGAGTTTAGAAAAAACAGTACTGATAGAAACTGAGAAGACAAGCAAGAAAGCAAGTTCCAGGAAAGAGAGCAGGCAATGAAGTTTTTGCTTTTGGAACTACTGCACTTGAAAGAAGAGAGAGAAAAGGGCAGAGAATCCAAGGACTTAAGCACAAGGAAAAACAGAGGAGAAAGCGGGACCACCGTGAAACTTTGCCTCTTCCCCCAACCCCTCACAAGCCTATTTCCCAGCTATTGTTCCAAGGAGGTGTTGTCAGTGAAGGGACCCACAGAGAGTGTGAAATGATGTCACTGTATGATTCATTGGGTTCACTAGTGTAACATCAGCAACAAGTACAATCCCTGACACACAAATTATAATGTAAAGTATTGATCAATTAGTTGATTGATTTATTGACTAGTTGTGTGACCAGAAAGGGGTCCCATTCCAGACCCCAAGTGAGGATTCTTGGATCTCACGCAAAGAATTCAAAGTGAGTGAGTCCGTAAAGTGAAAGCAAGTTTATTAAGAAAGTCAAGGAATAAAAGAATGATTACTCTATAGGCAGAGCTGTGGAATGGATCGCTGGTTGCCCATTTTTATGGTTACTTCTTGATTATATGCTAAACAAGGAATGGATTATTCATGAGTTTTCTAGGAAAGGGGTGGGCAATTCCCAGAACTGAGGGTTCCTCCCCTTTTTAGGCTATATAGGGTAATTTCCCGACATTGCCATGGCATCTGTAAACTGTCACGGCACTGGTGGGAGGGTCTTTTAGCATGCCAATGCCTTATGATTAGTGTATAACGAGGAGTGAGAATGACCAGAGGTCACTCTCATCGTCATCTTGGTTTTGATAGGTTTTGGCTGGCTTCTTGACTGCAACCTGTTTTATCAGCAAGGTCTTTATGACCTGTATCTTGTGCTGACCTCCTATCTCATCCTGTGACTTAGAATGCCTTACCTCCTGTGAATGCAGCCCAATAAGTCTCAGCCTGATTCTACCCAGCCCCTATTCAAGAAGGAGTTGCTCTGGTCCAAACGTCTCTGACAGTTGCCTGATTTCTCCTAGAGGAAAGTCACTAATATTCAACATTATCCATAAAATATCATCATTCAGTACATACTTTTTAACAAAGCAAATAAAAAGGCACTTTTGGAGGTCATTTCATACTCATGTAGCCCAGCACAGCAGCTCCTGGATCAGAAAAAGCTCAGAGCTGAACTTGCAAATATCCTTTGGGCCTTACCATTTACAACAACCAGCCACAAAGAGGCCTCAGCAAGCTCCTGAGCTGCAAAAGCAGCTGAGTCCCTTGCTCTGCTTCCCACAGGTGGCCGCAGGTAATTGTTGGCTCAAAGCCAACAATTTTTTAAATCACTGTTTTTCCTTTTTTGGAAAAAGAGCCATTGCTGCAACCTGTGTCCTTGGAAGGCAATTGAGGATATTGACTAATAAGAGACAGCCTGTGTGAAATCTTACCTTTCAGAAACATGGAGACATCTTCGAGTTGAGGCACATTGTCCTCTCTGTAGCCACAGTATTTAGTCAGCAGAGGGAAGTTTTTCAAATACTCTCGGCAAGCATGAGTGGGATAGAGTTTGGAGAGCTCCCGGAATACAACACCCCAAGTTTTAGTTTCTTCTTCAGTATACTCCACCCTGGGAATGGGCTGACCACTAGGCAGGAGAGAAGAAACTAAATGAATCTAACTTTGAATCACTGAGTTAAGTATTTTCTCACCTCAATACCTATCACAAGTCAGACCCTGGCAAAGTGGAGCACATGAGCGTCTGAAAGGATCCCATTAAGTATTATTTTTTAAAGCAAATGCTAACCTTCTAATGTTGTGCATGTGTATTTGAATTTCCATATAAATTATTTTTTAATTCAGTTATATCTTCATGCATCCTTAGAGAAATGTGATAAGATTTATGTTCTTAAACTGAGGTCAGTAACAAGTAATAGTTACGGGTTGGAAGGAACTGGTTTAGGTACAAAACTATTCTCTGAGAGCATTTTCTGCAAACACCTAACAACAGTAATAAATGTTTTCTCTCTTAAAAATAAAATTGCTTTATGGGTTCTTTTTGTCCCTTGCCCAGACTCACTCCAATCTTCAAGTGTAATTTTGAGATTATTTGTTCAGTGTCCAAAATGTCTGGGAGATACTGAAAGACTATGCTGAATTTAAAAGTGAAAGTTTTGCAAACCAAAAAATAAGGAGCATTCATTGCAGGTCATGCTGAAAGATACACACATTAAGCCCCCTCAATTTAGGATGAGGTCAGCAAACTTTTTCTGTAAAGAGCCAAAAAGTAAATATTTTAGGCTTGTGGGTCATATGGTCTCTGTCACAACTGTTCAATTCTGCCACTATATCTCAAAAGCAACCATGCACAATAACAAATGGATATAGGTGTATTTTAATAAAAATTGTCTTTATTTGGCCCATAAACAGTAGTGTACTAGTGACTGGTTTAGAATATTGAGACACCGTGCTGGACTGAAGTAGTCAGAGAGAGCTTCCTGGAGGAGGCACAACTTGAGTTGAGACTTCTTGGCCAGGTAAAGACCTGCAGGTTCCGACAAAAAGAAAGTCAGGAGAAACTGGTGCTCTAATATAATAGCAGCCAGCAGCCACAGGCAAGGAATATACCTCGTGCTGCAACCAGGGATGGGTAGAAGGAGGAGAATACAAACATGTGCTTTTGTAAGCTATTGCTTGAGGGACCCAAATCTGAATTTAGCCTCTGATTAAGATACCTATTCTGAAACTCAGGATTTGAGAAAACCTCTCATGACATACTCAACAGCCACCTGCAGCACGCCCTCACTTCCCACCCTGGCCATGTGTCAGAAATTCTGCCTCTGCAATTAGCAAATATACACGTACAACATATGGAAGTCCAAACATATGCACGTAAAACTAGGAGTTGTGCCCCTGCAATCTACAAATCCAGCCTGTAGCAGGTGGTCACTACAGGAACCCATGCATAGACAGCAACTGTCACTCAGGGTTGCTGCAGTGAGAGGGGCATCTTCAATGAGCTAGGATCATTCAGTAGCACCCCTGAGGTAGAGAAAAATGAGATAGAGGACTATAACAAGAATAGGCTATCAAACAGATCCCCTAGCTGCCTTCCTCCTCCCCAACCCTCTACATATTTCAGTGTTCTCGGCAAAATAGTTTCTGTTTAAAGTTCAGGTCCAAATGGAGTTTCTCCTGCCCCCAAATTATTTTTGTTTAAAAAAAATTAATTGCAGTACATGAGGGATAAGGGAATAACACATACTGAAGAAAAAAACAGAAATTCACATTTGCTTTCTCTGAATACCAAGACTAGGTCTTCCACAAACCAAATTAGAGCAAGATTAGCCTTGTTTAAATTTGGCTGTTGATAACAAATAAAAAATTACAACCTGGCAAATATTTGCTGGGAAGATCAAGGCTTCTAAGACCTCACACCTGTGATGAATTTAGAATGAAAGCTTGAAATGAAAAGACAAAAATAGAAAAGATGTAAGGAAATAAGTATATAAATGGTCTGCCTCTGGTTCCAGAAAATTCAACTAAATCTGTTTGAGTTGGGTAAGCCAGTAAAGCTAATAAGGGCTGTGCATGATCAGAAGGTAGGAAAGCAATGAGGCTGAGACAATAAAGGAAATATTGAGAAGCCACTTGAGAAGAATCGTTAGGTCAAAATTTTCCCTTCAACATCAATCTGCAAACATGCAGCACTTCAGAGGGGACCTGAATATTCAACAGGCAGAATGAGATCAAGTGTAAATTAGGATAGGAAGAAATTGTTATACAGGTCTGTTACTTAATAATGAACTTCCAGCCTCGCAGTCTTGGGAATATGAGTGGTCATGTATGTTGTCAACTGTTCTGTTTGTCTCTCCTGGATAACTTGTCCTGCTCTTTGAGTTAAAAACCGGTGCAATGCACTGCTCCTACCCTAAACCCAAGTAAGTCGGCCTCCGGTCATATCAACAGATTTCTCATACCACTCTAACCCCACACCCCAGGTAACTCTTTAAGGTAAATATTTAAAAATCAATTTGATCTCAAAGTAAATACTAGTTTTATCTACTTCGTTTCTGTTGAAAATATCCAAAATACAGAAAAAATCAGAAATTTTCCATTTTTCTATGTAGTTAATACAAGCATACAGTAACAGCTGATATTTGAGAGCTTACTATGTGCCAGGCATATGTTTAAGGTTAAGTGTTTTTATATGAATTGGCCCATTTGATTCTCACAATTCCATGAGGTAGATACTGTTATTATCTCCATTTTATGGATGAGGAAAGTGAGGCTCAGAGAAATTAAGCTGCTTGTCTAAAATCATGGATTCAGGCTTAAAACCTAGTCAGTCTAGCTGAAGACTGGCTGTAATCTTAATGGATTAGTATACACAAATTAAATGAAAAATTGTACTCCAGACTGATGGAGTAAAATTGATTTTTCACATCCCAACTTATTTTTCACATACCAAACTAAAATAAGGTTTATAGGTATGTGTATTCATATGTAGAAAATCTCATATACAATTATATGTCATAGTAGGATATATTTGTAGATCACAAAGAGTACTTTCATCTTTATTCACTCATTTAACCTTCCCAGTAAGACTGTGAGGTTTTACCTGGCTCCTCAACAAAACAAACATGTGTTTGGGGCACCAGGAATGCAGGGCACTCACATTTTTTTAGGACTTTGAAATTTGACATTTGAGAAAAAAATCATAGTCATGAGGAAAATCAGAATGTGTTGTATTTCTTTGAATTTGTTATGGGTTAGTGGGTTTTTTGTAAATCACGTATGAGAAGGGAGCCAGAGGGGTGCCCTGGTCTTTTCAAGGCCTTCGATATATCCTTGTATATCATTATGTATCTTTCTTTCTTTTTTGAGATGGAGTCTTGCCCTGTCGCCCAGGCTGGAGTGCAGTGGTGTAATCCCGGCTCACTGCAAGCTCCGCCTCCCGGGTTCACGCCATTCTCCTGCCTCAGCCTCCGGGGTAGCTGGGACTACAGGCGCCCGCCACCACGCCCGGCTAATTTTTTGTATTTTTAGTAGAGATGGGGTTTCACCGTGTTAGCCAAGATGATCTCGATCTCCTGACCTCGTGATCCGCCCGCCTCGGCCTCCCAAAGTGCTGGGATTACAGGCGTGAGCCAGCCGCTTCCGGCCCGTTATGCATCTTTCTATGGGCCTATGTTGTAATGTATATATATAACAGAAGTCATATTCCAACATCCTACAACTACGCTCTGGTCCAAAACTAAAGTTACGTAAGGACTCCACATTCTAGAGAAATTCCCCAGCAGCTGAAGCCAACCATCTCCTTACAGGGCTTGGTGAGAGGCAGCACAAATGGCCCTATCACCAACAAATTCCTCCTGTACCACCTGTACCACACTCTCCCCAGACCTCATCCACCAGCCTACTAGGGAATCAGAGATGCTCAGCATTGTGAGGAGGTCAGTGTTTGAGGGAAAGGGCAGTTTCTTTCCTCCTCTCAAAGTCAAGACAGCAGGCTGCTCCCTGAGAGCGCACCTGCGAGAAGTGGAGTAGGGCACTTTCTTTCCCAACCGGACCCTTACTGGGCAGCAGGATCCAGGCCTCCAGGTGCTGCCACCACTTCAGAGCAGGGGACCGACAGTCCCTGGGAGAGTGTCTGGAGGCCTGGGAGGATGGTGTACCACGGGGAGCCTGGACATACGTCCTCTGAAATTTGAGGTTCACGTGAACATGAAGTCTAATGCCCAGCAAAGTCTAGACATTTATGTGGGACCCAATGTGGTGTGCCTGCGAGAAAGATGGAAAAGTCCCACGCCATCCAGTTCTGCTCAGTTCTCAGGAGGCAGAAGACACCACAGTGGTCCCCATCACCGTCATGAAGAAGCTCTGAGGGCTGCCCCAGCTATGGTATGTCACTGACAAGGCCAAGGGAGGCAGAGCACATTTCTGCAGCTGTGGAGGTGAGGGAGTGGTCTCCCCCAGGAAAACTATGCCTAACACCATTTCAGCAGAGAACACTCTATCGAAAGGGATTTGTCAGAACCAGGGTGAGTGTGGCCTGAGACCTACTCACCACTGACATTCCAGCAAGCATGTAAAAGGGCCTCAGCCTCCTCCCTCCCTCCTCGCAGCCCCCAACTCTAGAAGAAATAGGTCTTAGAGAAGGGAAGGAAAAGTGTCTCAGAACCAGAGAACTCCCCAAAAAACACATGCACATCCACACACATTCACTCCAAATAACTGCGGGAGAGGGAGGATACACTTTGAATCAAGTTTGAGATTAATATTTTTTAAATGAAAAAGACCAGGTCTTAAATACCCAAATGAGACTATACTAATAATTGAAAATGACAGGAAATTAGATGTTGCTAAGGAACTTGCTTCCCAGCAGGAAAGTAGAATTCAACTCAATACAGTTGAAAGTAAAGAGTGGGAAAAATAAAACCATTTTATGTTGCTACAAGATAATACTCCTCAACAGACTAATTATATGTAAATATTATAATTGGATATCTAGAAAGTCTCCTGCATTTATATGGAATTTGTTAGGATTACAGCATTCTCAACAACCACCAAAATTATAATTCACAGGTTCTTAATTTACTGGAGAAAAACAAATGGGACTTTCAGTAGTTTCCATTCACTGTAGATTCTGCCTTCTTGTCAAAGAATGGCAAACTAAGATTGTATGAGCATCGATATGGAACCAGTGTTCAGCGACGGCAGTACTAGAAAGAAGCTAAGATGGTCACCATGGGGATGTCAACTTGAAAACAGGGAAAACTCTCTGGTGGATTATGTTACTCAGAGATGACTAAGAACTTTCTTTGAGAATATTGAAGGCTGTGGGAGGCATCTGTCTGCCTGTATGGTTAAACCCCACTCTTCCTAGAGAAAAGGAGATGATTCTGAAAAACCAGCCTTGTGCCTGCAGAGAAGAAGGAGTGGAAAGTGCATAGACAAATCTAATTGAGGGCAGGTATAGATACAGTTATTTTGTGTGAGTCCTGAGCTTATTAGACTGAAGTTGTTTAACAAACACATTTTTGACTCAGAAATTCAGGGACATATACCCCACTGAGACTGAAATTTTGGAAGTTCTTTCTACAGCCAGATGAATAAGCAACAATGATTTCATTTTGTTTAACTATTATTTGATCTTCTCCTCCAGCGGTCCAACAGCAAGCTATTTTTCTTACACATTTTTTTTAATTAGGGGAATTGGAAAATACTCTGTTGTGATGCTATATCCTGGCTGCCTCCTGGAGTCCTTGCTGCTAGAATTCATAATATGAGATGCAGTTTCTCAGCTTGTGTTATCTTTAGAAGAACTTCAGTGTGGGGAAGCAATTCACTTATTCATTGGAGGAAGATGTGACAGGCTGCAATTGATAGTATTTACATCAAGATGGCAAGACTGTCTGAATCACAACACCAATTGTGTTCTTTGAAAACAGCCGGATTTTCTCAGTGGCAAGGAGCAAACAGAGCAGAAGATAACAGAGAATTGGGTAAGGGAATGGGTGAATCTGATAGAAATAGTTAAGAATGAACTCATTTACTATTTTATTTCATTACATGTTCCTTAGGGCAGGAGATGCCTCACTTATTCAAGAGATGTTTATCTGCCTGGAATAGACTGTCCCTCTCATCTTTTCTTTCCTTCCCCACCTTTGGTGTTTCTGTCTTGATTGACATTTCTACCTGGCGGTTGGAGAAAACAAAGAAGAGCTTAAATGCATCAACTTTGCAACTCATTAGAAATTAGCAGCTCATTGGCATGTTCTGCATATGTATCTCAGAACTTAAAGTATAATAAAATATGTATAATTTTACTGTATGTAAACTATACCTTAATTTCTAAAGTGTAACTTATGGTGTTGAATCAATAAAACCACAGAATCCTTTAAAAAAAAAAAGATTTAGACAGGGCCTTTGAAGAAAGATTATGGGAACATCAAGGCTAGTGGTCTCTTGTTCCTTCTTGATTTTTCAGATGCCTTTGTTGCACTCCTCAATAAATATACCCTGAATTTGGCATAATTTCCAGAGAGCTATTTGTAATTTATCCCCTTTCCTTCTTATTCAAGAAAGCACCTAAGAATATAGAAGACTGAGGTTGACATTATTCTAACATTATTATAAGAATAACCTTATTTTTAATCTAATGTAACCTTTTAAAGGAATTCATCACTCAAGATACATTAAAGACCTAAATGTAAAACCCAACACTATAAAATCCCTAGAAGAAAACCTAGGCAGTACCCTCTTGGATATGGGAACAGGCAAAGATTTCATGACAAAGACACCAAAAGCAATTGCAACAAAAGCAAAAATTGGCAAGTGGGATCTAATTAAACTTAACTGCTTCTGCGCAGCAAAAGGAACTACCAACAGAGTAAATGGATGACCTACAGAATAGGAGAAAATATTTGCAAACTATGCATCTGACAAAGGTCTAATATCCAGCATCTATAAGGAACTTAAACCAATTTATTAAATTGGTGCAAAAGTAATTGCAGTTTCTAACAGAAGAGAAAAACAACCTCATTAAAAAGTGAGCAAAGGACATGAACATTTTCAAAAGAAGGCATACATGCAGCCAATAATCATATGAAAAATAGCTCAACATCACTGATCATTAGAGAAATGCAAATCAAAACCACACTGAGACCATCTCACACCAGTCAGAATGTTTATTATTTAAAAGTCAAAAAAATAACAGATGCTGGCAAGGTTGCAGAGAAAAGGAAACACTTATACACTGTTGGTGGGAGTGTAAATTAGTTCAACCATTGTGGAAAGCAGTATGGCCATTCATCAAAGAGCTAAAAGCAGAATTACCATTCAACCTAGCAATCCCGTTACTGAGTATATACCCAGAGGAATATAAATCATTCTATCATCAAGACACATGCATGCGGAAGTTCACTGCAGCACTATTTACAATAGCAAAGACACAGAATCAACCTACATGTCCATCAGTGACAGATTGCATGAGAAAAATGTGGTACATATACACGATGGAATACTATGCAGCCATAAAAAAATGAGATAATGTCTTTTGCAGCAACATGGATGGAGCTGGAGGCTATTATCCTTAGCAAACTAATGAAGGAACAGAAAACTAAATACTGCATGTTCTCACTTGTAAGTGGGAGCTAAATGATAAGAACTTATGAACACAAAGAAGGAAACCACAGACACTGGGGTCTCCTGGAGGGTGGAGGGTGAGAGGAGGGTGAGGAGCAGGAAAGTAAACTATTGGGTACTAGGCTTAACACCTGGGTGATGAAATAATATGTACAACAAAACCCCATGACATGTGTTTACCTATGTAACAAACCTTCACATGTACCCCTAAACCTAAAGTAAAAGTTAAAAAAAAAATTCATCATCACAAAATTTATAATTAACTCTTATCAAGCATTTGTTGCATGTCTCACAACTGAGGTGTCACACCAGGTGTGTAGAAATTTCAATCAGTAATTGATGACTCTCATTTTTAGCCAGTAACCATAGTGTTACCTAGTACTATATTAGTTGGTACCACCTTCATGAAATAGTATCACCTGCATCCAGGTGTCTACAATATACAGCCAAATACTCAATGAGTATTCAAGAAGATGGCTTATGCCTCTGAGACTGGAAAAATATTGCCAGAATATATATATATATTCTGCATCAACTAAAAATACAAAAATACTAAAAATACTAAAATTAACCGGGCATGGTGGCGTGTGCCTATAATTCCAGCTACTAGAGAGACTGAGGCAGGAGAATCGCTTGAACCCAGGAGGCGGAGGTTGTAGTGAGCTGAGATCGTGCCACTGTACCTCAGCCTGGACGACAGAGACCCCATCTCAAAACAAAACAACTATATATATATTTTTTCTGAATATTGCCAGAATGCTATATATACTAATATATAATATATAATAAGCATATATATACTAATATATATAAGTGTATATATATGCCCAGAATATTATCAGTATGTATGTGCATATATATATACATTTTTTTAAATCCCATTCCATTATCTTCCATTGATTTGCTTTCTCAGGTTTTGAATGAAACTGAGATATATGTGGCTGTTTGGGTACTTTGTGACTCCTGCATAAACACCAGTTGTTGATGCTTTAATTTCTCTGAAATGGTTTCTCCTTTTTGCTTTTCAGGCTTGCTGGGTTTCAACAAGAAGTCTCAGCATTTCAAATATGCTGAGACTTCTGTAAAGAGAAGAATAATTTTTTAAAAACCCAAGTCACTTAATTCGATTGGTCTTGTTTTCAACCTGTGTGTCATACCACCTATGTCAAATGGAAGTTGCTAAGCAGATTTTTTTTTTTTTTTTTTTTGAGACAGAATCTGACTCTGTCACCCAGGCTGGAGTGCAGTGGCACGATCTCAGCTCACTGCAACTTCTGCCTCCCAGGTTCAAGCAATTCTTCTGCCTCAGCCTCCTGAGTAGCTGGGACTATAGGCGCGTGCCACCACACCTGGCTAATTTTTGTATTTTTAGTAGAGACAGGGTTTCACCATATTGGCCAGGCTGGTCTTGAACTCCTGACCTCGTGATCCGCCCACCTCGGCCTCCCAAAGAGCTGGGATTACAGGTGTGAGCCAAAGTATCCAGCCACTAAGCAGATTTTTTAAAAACGAAAACATGTGGCCTCTTGGGCAGTACATATATGTGTGTATATACATACATATATATATATATGTATGTATATACACACACTAATACATAGTATTAGTACATATATAATATATATAGCTATATATATATTATATATATACACACAGTAAATGGAGTTGATGATGAATTCTAATTAAGGTTTAACCGTAAAGCAAATGTAATTTTTATTTACTGACTTCCAAGAATTCATAAGAAAAGTCTGGGAGTCCTGCGTTTGATAAAATTAGACTTCAGGATTCAGACCATAAAGGACACTCAATAAATTTATGATAAAATATTATCAGTAATGCCCGGGGCAAAAAAGCAAAAAGTAAAATATTCAAAATATTACTCTGCTAAATGTGTCTCCCTATTAGGATATACAGTTTTTGAAGGCAGAGATTTTTGTTGCTGTGTTCATTTTTGTATCCCTGCTACCCAGGGTGGAGCCTGGAATGCAGAGGTGTTCAGGCCAGGCACGGTGGCTCACATCTGTAATCCCGGCACTCTGGGAGGCCGAGGCGGGTGGATCACCTGAGGTCAGGGGGTCAAGACCAGCCTGGCCAACATGGTGAAACCCCGTCTCTACTAAAAATACAAAAATTAACCAGGCATGGTGGCGTGTGCCTGTAATTCCAGCTAATAGAGAGGCTGAGGCAGGAGAATCGCTTGAACCCAGGAGGCGGAGGTTGCAGTGAGCTGAGATCGTGCCACTGCACCTCAGCTTGGATGACAGATACTCTATCTCAAAACAAAACAAAACAAAACAAAAAAATAATATTTGTTAAGTGAGTAAATCAATCAATCAGCCTAAAGCAAAACACAGATTTAAATGTTAGGGAAAAAATAGTTATGCCTCAGAGAGTCTGGCAGGTATGTATTTGTCTTGCCTCATATATTTCAATTACTATGCAAAAAGCAAAGATTCAGGATTGTAACAAACTTTCTGGTAGCCTCCAATTATTCCTATGTACAATTTACATATAAGGGTTTCTTTTTTCTAATTTTCTCAATTCAGTTTTCCTGACCCTTATCTAGACATCATCACTCAGTCACACTTGTAACCAAAATTTTCACCAGGAAAGAAAGCAGCATATGTAAACCCAAAGGGACAGAAAAGTCCGAACTTAACTAAATACAGAGATGTTTCCTTGGCTGAACATTGTAATGAATGAACTTCAAAAACATTTCCAAGGCTACAGAGCACAATGATTTAATAATATTTTTTTACAAACAAAAACTCACAAATCAGTACAGCAACTTAACAACCATCTAAATGATGCCTGAATTTCAAAACATTCAAGTCATCTGACATACGTGGCTTGACGGGGACTCATCTGTAGAGGAGGTTAGGAGCCCCACGACTGCTAAGCCACGCCATAGAGTAAACATAAAGGCATAAACGCATTTTCAGCTAGTCCCCTAGGCCAGTCAGGTAAAGAGCATTTGCGATCACATATTTTATTTGCTTTTGCAAATGAGTTTTGCACACATGAATTTTCGTAAATGAGTCTACGGGCCTTAAGGAACTTTCAGATGGGAGCAAACAAAAACATTAGTTTGTTTTGTTCGCGTTGTTAATATTGGTGCTGCCTTTACAAGAGACGTAATGAAAATAAACTACTGCACCTAAGGAGCCTCAGGGAGAACAAAGATTTAACTCCTAGAAATTATTTGTTTTTATTTGTCCTGTGCACCACAGGATAGGGCTTCCCACTATTTTCTCACCTTGCAGAAAGTCCTCTTCATATTCTAGAGAAGTGATTTTCATCTGCAAAAACTATCATGAAATTAAATATCAACAGCAACAACAATGGATCTAACATCCATCAATATGTGCACGCTCAACATACACAAGGAGCTTGAGCTCAAAGAACTTGATACAGAAAAGAGCTGAAATTCCCAGTCGCCAATAGCAGCTAACAGTCTTGGGCCACTAGAATGAAGATTCACAAAGAATGAAGAGTCACAGATTTAATCAGATACATCTTGCACCTTGTTTGAAAGAGACAGAACACAGCTAACTACTAGGCCCTATCTTTTTCAGAGTGATAGATGAAGAAGCGTGATTATCCTACAGCTCATGGTCTTGTGCAAATTAATAACAGCATTCATTTATTCACCCACCCATTTCACTGTGACAATAACAATACTATAATAGTTCATTACATGGATTATGTCATATAATGCTTATCCCACAGAGTGACTAAATGACTATTCATGTCCTCACTTAACTGTTGAAGAAACTGAGGCTTACAAATGTAATAATCTGTCCAAGATCAAACAGCTAGTAAGTACAATAGTGGGGACTCAGCTATAGGAAGGCTAGCTCTAGAGACCCCACTCTTGACCAATACACATCAGTACAAGGTACTGAGTACCCAATATGTACCTAGCATCAAGGTTTGGCCTCCGTTTCCTCATTCGAAACTGAGGGAAATAAGACTTCTCACATCGTGAGGATCAAATGAGAGGTCATCTGTAAAACATCCTGGCCAGTGCCTAGTGCCTAATAGGTACTCAATATAGTTGATTCTCTTCCTCCAGGTGTATAAAAATGAATAAAATTTCATCACTTCCCTGCAGGGTTGGAAACAGGTCTGGAGATGACAAAACAGCACTGTTCCATATAAATCCATTCACCTCTCAAGCAGGACTTGTGGAAGTAATTCGAATCCTTCATGTTCATGAAAATCATTTTAAAGTAAAAATACTCATACCTCTTTCCCTGTGAAATACATTAGAATTTGGTGCAACTGTTGTCCTTGTCAGTAAGTGATACAGGACCATATTGCGTTAATGTTTTCCACAGCTGTGGGAGCCATGCTATAATCAGACAACATCCTACTGAGGCATTCACACACATCTAAAAAACCCACCAAGCCCAAAAAGCAAAAAGGAGAAACCTTTTCCAAATCAATTTTCCCTTTTGTCTTTCTTTGCAACTCTCAGGCTCCCTTCCTTTCAGCCACTGAGCTGCGCTTCAGGTAGAGAGAAACACTTGGCATGAAAATGATTCTCCCATAAAGCCTGAAGTATTTTAAATACTTATAAGAACTGTGCATTTCAAATACACTAAGACTTCTGTAAAGAGAAGGATAACTTTATAAAAACCCAAGTCACTTAATTCTATTGGTCTTGTTTTCAACCTGTGTGTGATACCACCTATGTCAAATGGAAGTTGCTAAGCAGATTTTTTAAAAAAGAAAAGACGTGGCATCTTGGGCAGAGAAAGATATTTGAATTCTACAGGAGAAGCACTCTAAAAATCCCTAATATGACCTTCCTCAGAAACTATCCTATTCATCTGGGAAATGACCCCAGTACTACAAATATTTGGTTTTGTTCTACTTTTCAATTTACCGCTTCATTTCAGAGAAATTAAAGCATCAACAACTAGTGTTTATGCAGGAGTCACAAAGTACCCAAACAGCCACATATATCTCAGTTTCATTCAAAACCTGAGAAAGCAAATCAATGGAAGATAATGGAATGGGATAAAATTAGCTCAGTCAGGGAGAAAACATATTTGCCTTCTAAGGTGCCTCTTCTCAAAAGGGCAGCGAAAGGAAAAAAATTAAAGCTTGGTTTCACATCACAGTAGAGCCTACAATTCATCAAGGTGACCACCTGCCAATGAAATTGATGAGGAAAACATCATTAAAAAGAAAAACTTGCAACGCCCCCCCCAATTAAGTTTTTTTCCCTGTTAAGAAAGCATAACCTTCCCTTCCATTCTTCCTCTACCTTCTACTTGTTATGCTTCCAATTAAGATTCGCCTATCTAAAAATAGGTAATGTGGCACTCACAACTCCTTTAGTAATGTATTCCTTTAAGCTACATTCTGAAACCAAGCAGGATCCATAAATCATGCCTCTTCTCTCATGAAATGAGAAATGCTAAGGTCAACTGAAATTTCTGGAAAGGTGGAGAGGTAGAGCCACCCCAGTTATTTTTCTGCAAGTTGCAATAATTGCAAATGCCTCTTAGGAAAAACTCAGCATCAGTAATCCCCTAGCTCAGACACAAAGCTAAACTGTCACAGCTACCTGCAAGTGGAGAAGCCCTAGTGCGCACAGTACTGAGCACTAGGACGCGAGAAGCAGGGCAGCAAAACAGCTCTACTCCAAGTCTGCAGTCTACCCTTATTAGTCTCTGATCATCTGTCTCTTTCTTTTTCTTTGCAGACCTATGGCTGAGTCATCTAGTGAAAGAGGAAACTGAGAAGACCTCCTAAGAAGTGAGATGCTGGCTTGGAAATCCAATATGTTCATTCCAAGGTACATCCATTCCATATTTATGTATCTACTCAAATATCTTAAAATGCACTGCACAGTACTGAATCTCAGTCCCAGAGGGTTTTGTTTTGACATCATGTAGTACTTGGCAGTATAAGCAGGAAGAGGAGGGTAAAAAAAAAAAAAATGCCCTTCTCTGCTTCGATGAGAATAGAAGGTTAGAATCAACACCACTCCATGTAAAAGGAGAAAATTCTCTGTCTCTCTGATAGAGCTGAGTAGAATATTCACAAGCTCACCCAAATTGAATGTGCCTGCTGAGCTGGTGATTGCATTTTTCAGATATGCTAGTCCTCTGTTGGAGCTGTTTTGTTTTAGGGTCTCTGTTTAGCTGTGTACTTACACTCAGAGCAAATGAATCACAAAGGGTGCAATTTTATAAATAAAAAAATCAAGAAATAGATAAGCTAGCAACTAGTAAAAACCAGAGTGACACATCCCTGGCAATTGATTTTCAAGCCTCAGCCCAGCTGTGTTTATTTCCATTCATTCTGTATCTCACGAGGGTCAGGCTTTGGGTAGGAGGAGAATAGCATGGGGCCTGGGAGAGAGGGAAAAATCACCACACAGAATGGAGACATGGTTCTGCCATGCCAGACCCTGGCAGATGTCCCCAACAACCTGCGAGAAACAGGTTTGCAGTGTCACAGGACTGGTTTGAGTTCTGAGTCCATAAAATTCTAAGTGTATTAAATACTTACAAGGATGGTGCATTTCAAATATGCTGAGAATTCTGTAAGGAGAATAACTTTTACAAATGCCAAGTCACTTAGTTCTGTCACTGTTATTCCCAACTTGTGTATGAAACCACCTATGTCAAGTGGAAGTTGCTGAAGCCACTTCAGAAAACAAAAAAGAAAACGGTGTGGACTTTTGAGCAGACATTTAGATTCTACCAGAGGCATTCTTGGAACCTCTAAAAGTGACCTTACTCAGAAACTATTCTGGCCATCCAGGAAATGACCCTAGTACTATAAATATTTGCTTCAGTTCTGCTCTTCAATTTACTGCTCCATTTCAGAGGAATTTTAAGCATCTATACCTGGTGTTTCATGCAAGTGGCACAATCAGCTGTGTAACCTTTAGTAAGTTTCTTAATGTCTCCGAAGATCAGTTTCCTCATCTTCAAAGTGCGTACAATAATGGCACCTACCTCAAGGGCTCGTTGTGTGGTTAAATGACAGAAAATCAAGTGACACGTTTAACACAGTGCAGGATCTAAGAAAAGGAACCTAATACAATCTGAAAGTGTTAGCTGAGAGGTCAACATAATGAACATTTTTACCAAAATGAGCCATTCAGGGATGAGTCCAACATAGCCCTGTTGCGAGCTTATCCTCCAACCTTATTCTGGCTGAGACACATTGACCTGGGAAGGCCTTTGAGGGGGCAATTTTCCAGATTAAAGAAGCAAACTATGTGCATGATTTATGTGAAGCTGGGAGGTCCCCTCACACACACACCCACACACCCCTATTTTTTAAAAGTTCCTTTAACCCAGCCCATTATGGAGCCTGAAATTCCTTAATTCAATTACTCCTTAAGATCCTTTAGAGTCTGGTGCAGTGGCTTACAATTATAATCCCATCACTTTGGGAGGCCGAGGCAGGAGGATTGTTTGAGGCCAGAGTTCAAGACTAGCCTGGGCAACATAGTGAGACCTGTGTCTCTACAAAATATGAAAAATTAGCCAGATATGGTGGCACACACCTGTAGTCCCAGCAACTCAAGAGGCTGAGGTGGGAGGATCACTTGAGCCTGGGAGGTGGAGGCTGCAGTGACCCATGAGCATGACACTGCACTCCAGCCTGGGTGACCAGAGCGAGATCCTGTCTCACAAAAAAAAAAAAAAAAAAAAAAAATCCTTTACTCATTTTAAATGAGCCTAACAATTGATTATATGAAATTGAAGAACAATTAGCTATTTACCACATGACACTAATAATCATATCTATCATAGATTTAATATCTCCTTGTGCCAGTCAGCACTCTGAGTCCTGTAATCATTGCTAATCCTCCCAATCATGCAAGGTGTTGTGCCCATTTTAAGATGACAGCTTGAGAATTAGAGAGACTAGGTCACTGCCCATGACCACAGAGCTTTTAAGTGGTAGAGCGGGAATTCAAACCTAATTCTGTCTAGCTCCAAATCCTATACATTCTGCCACATCTTCTGCTACACCATGCTACCTCTTCTTTCATAGGGATTAGTTGTACAGATAGCACATTAGCTCCCACTGTGGGAGAGCAGTTAAAAAGTGTCATAAAGAAATGAAATGGGGCCAGCCACAGTGGCTCACACCTGTAATCCTAGCACTTTGGGAGGCCAAGGCAGACAGATTGCTTGAGCCCAAGAGTCTGAGACCAGCCTGGGCAACACGGGGAAACCCCATCTCTACAAAAGATACAAAAATTAGCCAGGCATGATGGCATGCACCTGTGGTCCCAGCTACTCGGGAGGCTGAGGCAGGAGGATCACCTGAGCCCGATAGGTCAAGGTTGCAGTGAGCTAAAATCATACCACTGCACTCCAGCTCAGGCAACAGAGTGAGACCCTGTTTCAAAAAAAGGAAGGAAGGAGAGAAAGAGGGAAGGAGGGAAAGAGGGAAGGAAGGAGGGAAAGAAGGAAGGAAGGAGGGAAGGAGGGAAGGAGGGAAAGAAGGAGGGAAGGAGGGAAGGAGGGAGGGAGGGAAAGAAGGAGGGAAGGAGGGAAGGAGGGAAGGAAGGAAGGAAGAAAGGGAGGAAGGGAGGAAGGGAGGGAGGGAGGGAGAGAGGGAAGGAGAGGGAGGGAGGGAACAAGTTAAATGAATGTGGTACCCAACCTCCCAGATGGTCCTCAGTGAACCCTGACTCCTGATATTCATGCCCATGTGTAATCCCTTCCCACAGTGTGTCACAGTTGGTCTATGAATCTAATGGATACAGCAAGAGTGATGGTGTGTCACTTCCAATGCTAGGTTATAAAAGGCATTATAGATTCTGCCTTGCTCACTCTCTTGGATCACATGATTTGGGAGAAGCCAGCTACAGTATCTTGAAGATATTCAGGCTGCCTGGTAGAGAGGCCACGTTGCTAAACACTGACGCCTCCTGCAAACAGCCCTATGAGTAACCATATTGGAAGCAGGTCCTCTGGCCCTAGTCAAGCCTTTGGATGATGGTTTCCCTGGTCAACAGTTTGCTTTATGAGAGACCCTAATCTAGAACCCTCCAGCTAGGCTGTTCCCTAATTCTTGATACTCAGAAACTATGTGAGATAATAAATGTTTGTTGTTTTAAGGTGCTAAATTTGAGGATTATTTTTTATGTATCAATAACTAATATAGTGTAAAAATCAGACAGAAGTCAGGATTATACAAAAGCCTTGGCCGAGGGGAGTGGAGAAGACTGGCAACCAAAGGGTAATAAAATGATTTGGAGCATGAGGACAGACAAAAAGAAGAGATCATCTGAAGTGAGAAAATAACAATATTATTAAATATTTATATAGCACATGTAGTGTTCTAAGTTTTGTTACTATATTCGCTCATGTAATCCACATAACAATCCTATAAAGTAGTACTAGAGTTATCCTCATTTTACAGATAAGGAAACTGAGGTACAGAAGATTTAAACAATTTGCCCAGGTCACTCAGTTAGTAAATGGTAAAGCTGGGATTCACCCCAGGCAGTGCAGCTCCGACTTTTGACACTTAACAGCTTCACACGCTGCCTCTCAGATCTAAAGAAAAACAGGAAAAGCAGCCAAGGCCTTTATGTTGTCAGGGGTCTGAGTAAACCCCATGCCTTTGGTCTAGATTGTTTGATTCTTGTTTTAATAAGGATAACAAAGTACATTGTATAGCAATGCCCCACTTACTTCACTTAATCCTTAAAAAAACCTCCCAGGAGAGGCCGAAGAGATAGTTTTGTCTCCATTTTACAGAGGAGAAAAACTGAGGCTGAGCAATGTTAAGGGATGATTTGAATCGGTGAATTTTAAATCAAATGAGTTTTCTTGGCAAATTAAGGAATTGTCCAACTCTAACCTAAATTAGAGTTGGAAATTCTAACATGTTGAAACTCTCTTGTTTACCTTACCTATTGACAGTTGTAGTTGCCTATTTACATTTCAGATTCCATGGATAAAAATAAATAAATCAAAGAGGAAGCAGCCCCATGAGAAGAACATGAGGTTCATGGGCTACCTTACTTTCAACCAGGAGTAGGTACATTCATAATAAAACACAATCACAATAATATTCAAAATCAATTTAAGCAAACAAGAGTGGCATAATTAAAGTAGGAGCTCAGGGCCTCTTTCCAAGAGAATAAGATGGATTGAAATAACTACCACCATCCCCACGAAAAAAAAAATTAAATATGCATGCATATTGTTGAGGAATAATCATTGTAACAGCCCCCAAAAGAAAAATGTGTTTATTTCTAGTCAATTGAAAAAACGTATCACTGATTGTTCCCCCAACAATATAGTAATTGTGAAGTCCACAGAAATGCAGCAATGTTAATGCTGAGATTCAAATATGAAGGCACTAAAGAGAGAAAACTGGACAGTTTCAGACAAACCTAACAACTACTACATCGCAGTCATAATTTCCTCTTCCTCCACAGGCTATCTGCCCCCCACACACTTCCATTTCCTCTGAACTGCAAGTCTATATGCACATCACATTATCTAATCATGGGGTACTTTTTTCCTGTTTATACTAGAATTTATTTTATTTGGGCGGGGGAGGAGAGGCATGATCTGCGTGTTAGACATTCTCTCACAGATGATTTTAGAAAGTGTCCTCTCGATACAGGGCGTTCATTCTCAGATCTTCTATGAAGAATGATATTTGCACTAATGAGTGTTTCCTGCGCTATTATTGGTGAGGCAATTAGGCCTTCCCACACTCATGTCTGCAGGCTGCTGTGGGCCTCTGGGTAATCAATCATGTTTCTCAGCAGCACTGTCAATCAGAAGCTCGCCTGAGTGGCATCTATCGACAGTTAGCATGCCGGCGCTTTCCCGCCCCCTCTCCTCTTTCGGGTTCATGGTAATACAGACTTTGAGCCTGCTGTTTTTTCATCATAGAGTGGAATTTTTTCATTTTTCTCTGCTTGTGTTTATTCTTCCCCCCTGATTTATCCTTTCAAGAATATCACAGAAAATATAGTATTCAACACGAATCCCCCAGAGGGCTTCTTGGTTGTGGTTTCAATATATATTATTCTGTATTTCATTTCTTTGCCTTCTCCTTACCTTTAGACAACTCAAACTATATCCTGCTAACCCCTATTACAACCCCAAAATATCCATACTCCATCTTTCTCTGTATTTCTGACCACATGTTTGACTTCTTCTTCTTGTCCAGAAAGTCTTAACTAATTATCAACAGGGAATTGAATTGTTCTCCGCCTGCCAGCATGGTCCCTAATTTTATCACCAAACTATATTTGCGAGGACTGCATACGCCAGATTTTTCAAAACTACCCCAATCTCAAATGATCTATCCCTTGGACAAAGTGGTTCTAAACATCAGTTTGGAAAATCAGGTTGTTGCACACTTAAATGAGATTATTTTAAGTAATTATGGTATTCACGTCACTCTCCTTTATGTACTCAGAAAACCATCAGCACTAGAAAAATACCTATTTCAATTAGAAATTGCGTCTCTGTTTCCTATAAACTGAAGGGAAACCTTACTTGCTACATGGCAGCCTGGAGAAAATGGACAAGGCCCATTTGGAATTCGTTAGTATCTGTGCCCCACCCCCACCAGCACCATGGCAGGCACAAGAGCCCAAAAGTGACACACAGGACTGTCTCTCTCTTATCCATCCTCAAACTCATACTCAGAGAAACTTTAGCAATGACAGCATGCGGGGCATTAAGGAATGATCCTTGGCTCTACTTCCCACAAGTCCTGGGTTCGTGCTTTCCTGATTTAACTACCTTTGGTAGGCACCTTCCTCAGTTCATCCACTCACAAGAAGTACTGGCAGTCTGTATTTTGGCAGCTTCCCATGTGCAAAAAAAAAAAAGCAGGGAAAAGGGGGTGGGGAGGAATATGACTGCTTTTTATGAAATCTCTCTGTAAAGAGGAATGTGGGTCAACACAAAATACTTCTGTATATGCAACAGCCCTTCAATGGGAAACTAAACAGTTTCTTCCAAGAATGTTTTGAGCTACATTATTTGTAAATGGCATATAAACAACGGTATTAACATCACTAAAGAAGAAAACAGTAGGTCCACTGGAAATGGAAGACAGCCTGTGGAAATGGTCTGGGGAGATGTATTAAACCTAATAATATAAGTGACATTTATAATCATTGGTCATGTGTTGGGCGATGTGTGAGGTACAGCACATGCATTCTCTGTTTTAGTTCTTAATACAACCCTGTGAAATGGGTCTTATTGTTGGGCACACTTCCCAGATGAAGCAGCCTTGGCACAATGAGGTTGCACATCTGGCTTGGAGGAGAGGAGTGCACACAAGCCCAGACTATTGGAGTCCAATGCTGCAGTTTTTAAGCATGCTGTTATCCTGCCTAGGTCAGTCTGGGCTCAGCACCATCCAGGGGAGAGGGCTATAATTCCCTGGATTCTAAGCTCTCTTAGGTAAATACCCTTTGCTTTGACTTGACTCTGCATCCAC
Source organism: Homo sapiens (assembly GCF_000001405.40). NCBI lineage: Eukaryota > Metazoa > Chordata > Mammalia > Primates > Hominidae > Homo > Homo sapiens. The sequence continues at coordinate 71,952,545 of NC_000012.12, read as the reverse complement.
CAAGTAGCCTAAGGTTATAATCTGGCCTCCTCTGCTATCATGACTATAAGGATCATTTTGTGAGTCCTATGAGGGTTGTTTCTCACTATAAAATGATGAATTGGCCATTTCCTGGCTCTCTTGGCTTCCTGAACATTCAGTTACCAACAGCCAGGCCCCTTGAACCTTAGCACTTCCCAGCCCTCCAAACTGGGACCAGATCCTGGAATGCCCCAGCTCCATCCAGCCCTCTTTTGTGTAAATGTCCACCAGTTTCTCCAATCTCTACTTTTTTTTCTCTACAGACATCACACCTTCATCTTACTCTTTAGCTATGCAAAGGTGGCAAACGCAAACTCTTGTTAACACTTTGAGAACCTCACTCTCCATCATTTTGACTATATGCTCATTTTCTGTCCTCTCCATATAAATATGTTTTCTTTAAAACCAAATGACTCCTCATTACCAAAGTTCCATGAAACTGGTTGACTCATATATTCTACTTGTATCACCACAACATCAGCTTGCCTTTGTTTAGCTTTTGAATTCTATCAAGAAGAAATAAGTAACCCTTGAGCTAGTCCCTTAGTCTTGGCTCACTGCAACCTCTGCCTCCCAGGTTCAAGCGATTCTCCTGCCTCAGCCTCCCAAGTAGCTGGGATTACAGGCATGCACCACCATGCCTGGTTAATTTTGTATATTCAGTAGAGACAGGGTTTCTCCATGTTGGTCAGGCTGGTCTTGAACTCCTGACCTCAGGTGATCTGCCTGCCTCAGCCTCCCAAAGTGCTGAGATTACAGGCATGAGCCACTGTACCCGGCCGAAATCATGTCATTTTATACACACACACACACACACACACATGCACACACACACATACATAAAACATATAGCATCTACATATAAAATACATTTTCTGGCCAAGCACAATGGCAAACACCTATAATCCCAATAGTTTGGGAGGCCAAGGCAGGAGGATCACTTGAGCCCAGGAGTTTGAGAACAGTCAGAGCAACAAAGCAAAACCCTGTCAAAAATACAAAAAGTAAATTTTAAAAATTAGCTGGGCATGGTGGCACACACCTGTAGTCCCAGCTACTCAGGAGGCAGACTGAGTGACGAAGCTATCTACTTTATCTAAGGGAAAAGGCTCTGCCAGGCATTGAGCTTCTACCATGTTCTGGCTGGTCATGCTACAAAGAACTGCCCTGCCCACACCCCCTCTAAGGATCCACCTTTACAGTCATGACCTGATTCCGCAGAAGGAGCCTGTGGACCAGGGGAAGCCAATCATAAGGCTCACAACCATCATCAGGGCCTGAGGTGAAAATGTGAGCTCAGCCCATCCGAGTCCTCTCTTGGCAATTTAATCAGGAAACACTGGGACATGGGGCTAGCGGGGGTGGTACTGAGGGTAAGAAGGGGGCCTGAGGTTGGGCTTGGGCTAGGGCAAGTGCATGCTGACATTGCAAGGTGTGGAAAGTCACAGTAGAGAGGGGAAAGAAGCTGCTTAGAACAGAGGAGATGAGAATAGGCACATGTGAAAGGACATGTGCCATGTGGTCCTGGTTTTTAAGAACATTGTTTTCCTAAATGTCGTGGAGAAAGGACGAAGGATGCCTGGGACTTGGGAGGATGAAGGGAAGAGCACCTAAGCATCAAAGGAAGCTAGGGATGCCCAGTGAGAGGTGGGATGAAGAATCTTCTCATCTGTCTTAAGCACCATGGGTCAAATCCCTTTTTATAAACAAAGCCCACACTGAGACCCTCTATAACACACGTAATGTTCTAAACTTTCACCAGTGAAAAATTCGCCTCACAGGACAGTCAAGTTTCACACCTACTCTCAATTGGGGTAGGACGAATCTTTCCCTTACGAGATGGATTTGCATTTTGTTCTGATGACAAGTTTCCTGTAGCTTGATCAATCATACCAGACAGAGGAAAGAGAGCATTGTGATGATCTATGAGTTATACTAGCATGAGTAGAACAAACACAGGCCTAACCACCACTGCATTTTTCTAAACATGGCCTGCAGTCAACATACAACACCATTTCCAGTCACAAACACATCCTGTCACTGTCAGGCCTCTGAGCCCAAGCTAAGCCTACTGAGCACCTTGTAACCCCCACTCTGCCCACCAGAGAACAACCCCCCTTTGACTGTAATTTTCCTTTATTGACCCAAATCCTATAAAATGGCCCCACCCTTATCTCCCTTCGCTGACTCTCTTTTCGGACTCAGCCCACCTGCACCCAGGTGAAATCAACAGCTTTATTGCTCACACAAAGCCTGTTTGGTGGTCTCTTCACACGGATGCGAGTGAAAGTCACTGCCACTTAGCATCATGTACTATGCACAGTCCTCACCCCGAAGTTAGGTCCTCCTCTTCCATCCCAACTCTGATCTGGGAATGGGTGTGAAACTCCTTCATAACCCCTGCAGTTTACAGGAAGTTTTCCTCTCCATGTAAAACAAACACATGTCTTCTCTATTACGGCTCCTTAACTGAGCCCTTTCACCGTTCTTGCTGAATCCTCTACTTTCATCGGGGAAGCAGGAGACTGAAGGGGGTTACTGAAAAGTCAAGGCTAAAGTAAAATTAAAATTAAAACACAGTTTCTAAGGCCTGCAGAGTGCACAGAAATGGTCTTTGTCTTGGTGGAGCTGGAAACAATGGTGTAAACGTAGCACTTGGCATGTGGCTCACAGGTCTCATTATTTTACAATTATACCCAGATGTCAAACATCAGTGTTGGCATTTAAAGCCTACAGAGTTGGTGAGTGTTTAAAATGGTTCACACCTGCTTTCTGCAAAAGTTAAAGTGAAGAGATGACAGGTTTGTTTAACACAGCATGTGTTTTTCCTAACTAGCCAGTGACAAGAAAGAGTTATACAGGTACTTACTATTTATAACCCATGGCCACATCCACAAAATACTTTCTTCTCTGTCGATAGACATTGTCCTTAAATCCCTTAAACACAAAAAAGATTAAGTTATTTAACAAAGTGCTGAAAATTAGCTGCAGAAGACCTAAAAGAAAATCACTGTGGTGTCTGAGTGTTCAATTCATATGTAAATCTTATCCTAGGATGGCCATCTTGATGACACAGACAGAAACAAATTGTGCTTACAGTAAAACCTCATTAAATTGGGGCTATACTAATTTAGGATGTGTGGCAATTCAGGCTAAAGTTTACCTTTCCACTAAGTAAGCAGAATGGCTTAGTTGAGCAAATTGATATTGTGAACAATACCTTTAGGTTTTCAAATATCATTTGCATGTAATTGATCTTAATCACAAATTAATCCTATCCTATTCATTAAAACAGATCCCTTTAACATGATTATTCAGTAACTTAACCTAATTTTAATTGCTTTGTATAAATAACTAATAAATGTGACATTTATTATAAATTCTATCATTTAGAATAATAGACACATTCCCAAATTAGTATGAATTAAAGAGGTTTTGCTGTATTTTATGACTACAGCCACATAATGCAAAATCGATTTTAGGGAATTCATGCACAGGACAGAAGCCTGGCACCATTTCACTCTGACTTCTTATAATTCTAGTTAGTCTTAGCCAACTTCAAGATTTTTATCCATCATCAGCCACTTGGGAAATTAAACATTATGTCTGTCATTTTTCAGTCAAGTGAAATCCTTCAGAGAGGACTTCTTGGTTTACCCAAAAATCTCTCCTCTTGTCAACAGACTTTCCATTTTCCTTTCCTTTAAGCACTTTCAGACAATCAATTCTTTCCAGGGTTGTTTCTTCTAGCTGTTGGAAGCTCAGAAGGAGTTATTGCAATTTGACTCCTACCACTACAGCCCTGCAACCTGGAAGGATAACCAGGAAGCAATGGCTTGCTAAGAATGGAGTCCAGGCAAGGAGACAAGCCACTGGGATCATGGCACTGGAGAGTGAAGAACAGGGTGAGGCCCACAAAGGCCTAGACTACCTCTGCTGAACCTAAGACAGCTCTGCAAGATGGGCCGCTCAAGAGGAGCCTCAAACTCATTAGCAAATCGCCCCTCTCTTGCCTGGCTGGAGAGAACTGGCCTCGAGGCTAGAAATCTTCACAGGGCTGTCTGCTTGACAGAAATGAAGAACTTCCATTGTCAACAACCTTTCTTTCAGGAATGACAAGAGAGTTACTAAGGGGAGGAGAGAGAAGATGCCCTGAGACCACCTTAACACCATGTAGAAATGAAGTATCCTCTGTCCAAGAAACTAGCACTTTCTTTTACTGTGAATTGGGAGTTTTTAAACTGGGGTTCATAGGCAGGCTTGTGAAGTCCTAAAATGTCTATATAAAAAATTTTACAAAATACTTACCACAGTCCTTGAAGTTTGGGTATTTGGTAAAAAATAATAATAATAATAATAAAATAAAATAAATAGTTACCACATTCACAAATAGATCTGTGCCCTTTAAAAAGGTCTCCTGCTGGAGAGGGTAGATGCAGTCATGCTAGAAAGTACTTGTTTCAACACTCACTAGTAAAACCAGGCTACTTGAGATGGTAAAACCAAAGAATTCCAAGCACCTTTATTATTCAAAAAGAAAACAGGCCATGACAAAAGGAAAAGCGTCCTGTGAAAAGCACAGCATCTGTTCCCCGGTTCCTGCCAGACTGGACACCATGGTAACGGCATCATAATCTGCTGGGCCTCCTGAAGAATCTCAACTGCCTCTCTTCTGCAAACACCTGCACCTTTTCCAAGGACGCAAGAGAGCGATTTACTCATCATGCCTCATTAGCTTAGTGTGGCGGTGATTACGCAAATGTTGTGGGCGATCCAGAACTTCCTGGATTGAACCATGGACTGGCAAAGTAAACTAGGGACGCTAGCTGCACTAGTAGTGACAGAGAAACAGCATTCCTTGGCCATCCATTCTGAACTGAAGCCAGGGATAGGGTTACCGGATAAAACACAGGGCACTCAGTTAAATTTGAATTTCAGATAAACAACAAATAATCTTTTTAGTATAAATATGTTCCAAGTATTGCATGGGACATACTTATACCACAAAACTACTCCTTATTTATCTGAAACTCAAATTTAACTGGGCATCCTAGATATTTATTTGCTAAATCTGGCAACCCTAGCAGCCAGAGAGTACCCACCCTCCCTCTCTCAATTGAAATCAAAGGAAATTGAAGACCCAGCCTGAACTCTAAAGTGCTCAGCTAAATTTGTGTTGACACTCAATTAGCTACCCCAAATAGGTCAACAGTGATGGAATATTAGAATCACCTGGGAGCTTTAAATAATACATCAAACCTGGCCACATTCCCAGAGGCCCTGGCATCAGTATTTTTTAATTCTCCACATGTGATGTGAATGGAAAGCTAGGGATGAGAATCGCTGAGCTGGAACATTAATTAAGACATTAGTTCTCAAACTTTAGATCTCATCAGGATCCCCTGCAGATACCTTGAAATGCAGATTCCTGGGCCATCCCTGAAAGTTCTGACTCAGTAGGCTTCAGATGAGCATCAAGATATTGTATTTTTAACAAACACCTTATGAGTGAACCTTGAACCCCCACTTCGAAAGACCTTCCCAGTCTAGATGCTGGCTCCTCAAAGTGTGGTCCCAAGACCCTCTGGTGCAAGCCTTATCTGGGAGATCACCAGAAATAGAATCCCAGGCCCTACAGACTCATTATCTGCATTTAAAAATGATCTCGAAGGTGATTAGTTTGCCCCCTGAGGTTTGAGAGGCACTGACCTAGATATTTAACCCTTTCTAGGGAGCCTCGGCAACCTTACTCTTATATTCCAAGCCCCTTCTGAAGTATCCTATCACAACGGTCCCTGTGTTTGTCTCAGGACTGGGATTATTCCCAGGCAGAAAAAGTGCTTAGACAACTTTTCCATCCTCATCAAACAACTTACAAAAACACCAATTTGCCAATATCACATTCTGTATAATGAACATTTGGTGTGCGTATAAAAGAAATATATGCGGTTTAAAAAATGACAAGAGAGGGGATTGCTAAGTGCTTGCAATTATTTCAAGTGGCTGCACAGAAAATAAGAGAAGGTATCATAAGGTGGGTATAATTAGGAGTAATGGAATAAAATTAAGCACAGGAAAATTTATGCTGGGTATTGGAATAAATTTTTTCTCAGCAAGGTCAGTGGTTCCTATGGTTGTTCCATTAAAATGGCTGAACTCCTTTCTCCAGGTTGAGTAATTTTCAAACTAGACTAAGGGGAGCATTTGGAAATAGGAGGTTATCAAAAAATCCTTTAGTGTCCAGGCATTGATCCGGATGATTTAATACAGCATTTCTATTTCTGGAATTAAGCATTTACTCTTGCCAAATGCTTTCCAGTTGTTTTATTAACTAGGCTTTTCAAACACCCCTTTGAGGTCAGTAACAATTTTATTTCCACTTTTTACATAAAGAACTTGAGGTGCAGAGGTAAAGGGACTTGGCCAAGGTCATTCTGCAAGTTAACAGCTGGTGTCTGTGCAGCCCGGGTACTGCTTAGCTCCTACGTCAGGTTCCCGTGCTAATTCTGATGCCTTCTGGAAGTTGAGAGAGGGGAAAGATAACAATGGGTGATTACTAAAGCTATTTTTTAATGTTTTTCTAATGTTCAGAAGCCTTACATGTGAATTACTGGAAAATATTCTGAAATTTTAGGCTATGTTAGCAAATATAACACATTGTTTCTTTGAGAGAATTCAGCTTTTTGAAAATAATGCAATTGAATTAGGTCTGTTTGACCATTTGTTTGAATGGTATATTTGAATTGGTCTGAGTTGGTATATTATGTCAAATGACTGGTTTAATTGAAGATTTCCCTAGGGTTAAAGTTGTCATAGTTTCCTTTAAAACAGGGGTTCTCAAACTTAAGGGCGGGCTTGTTAAAACAAATTCCCAGGTGATACTGACACTGCTGATGTTGGGGTCGCACTTAGAGAGCCACTGCGCAGAGTATAGCCACACTGCCAAACCCCCAGATTTCCTCAGTTTAAACAGCAAGGAATGTCTGTAAACTACTACCTGCAGACCACAGAGGCACCCTGTAAGCGTTAGTGATCTGCTTGGGTTTCACTCTTTTATCTGCCCATTTTTAGACAAGGGGCACTGGGGGAGGGAAAAAATGCCTATAATGAATGGGTGCATTGCTTACTTCTCCCAGACTATTAACTGTACTTCACTCTGGCCATAAAGAAGTTCCAGGTCTCTTGTGTTAAATAAAAACAGATGTAAAAGGGGGAAGGGGAGAATAATGGGAAATGCTTACCCAAGTATCATATTTCTTTACAGATGGTCATTTTTATTGGAGTAGAGGAAAGAATGATGGTAGATAGATTCAGGGTAGATGTGGGAAGAGATATGTCTTCCATCATAGCCTTTATTCTAAAACTCTCTACCTTTCCATTGAGACTGAAGTCAACTACATTACTCTACTCCTAACTACCTCCAGTCAAGGAAAATAGCAGGAAGAATTTTATTCTCTCACTGAGCCCCATAATACCTAGTCCTCCCTAGTTTCCCAGAGGCATGATCAATTTCAGTTCATCGTTTTTCCAAGGATCACCATCTGCAGGTATATTTCAGGCTGTCTAATTCCACAGAAATATTCTCCAAGGTTTAGCGTCTCCTCCTCTATCCAACCCTTTTAAAAATAAATGCTATGTGAAAATACCATCCTTCTAACCCGCTTCCAGTCAACACGTGTACAGGGAAGCTTTATCATTTGGAAGTCTGCTCTCAGTTATGGGGAATAAATAATAAATTGTTCTATAATAAAGCATTGCAGCACAGAACATGGCACAGTGCCTGGCACATGGGTGGAGCTGAAAGAGCATGTGAGAAATAGATTTTACTGGACACTTACTGGGTGGTCAGCATCAAGCTCAGAACCATACATGAGAACTCTGTGAGAGCATTTGTCTAACTCAGAGATCTTCCGAGGGAACCAGGGCACATCCTCTAGCTCTGTTGAAAACAGTGCAGGTTCAAAAATATTAGTTCACAGATTGTGTTTTCCCCTTTGCAATATTTGTCAGATTGCAAAGTTACCCGACAAGCTAAGACCACCCTTGCCTTCTTCCTCTGTCCAAATGTTCTCTGGAGGATTCAGCGTCACAATAGTGGTTTGAAATTTCAGCAACTGAATGAGCTCATTGAATTCTGTTTTCCCACACTCACAGTCCACAAAGATTTCAACCTCAGAACTTCTTCGCCGAGATTTCCTGGATTCAATATGAACCATGTTGACACGTTTTTCCTGTGGAAACACGAGCATCTGAAAATCACCTTCAGGGACAATAAAAGGAATGCCATGAGCTTTTCTTGTTCACATCTTAAGCAAGGTGCCAAGTACCCACACAAGAGGAAGAGACAATCTCTTTGTTCTTTGAATAAAACTTGGAAATGTTTCCAACCATTATTTCCATTAATAAAAAATCTATATATTTATACTTCTGTGTATAGGTTGTCCTGCCTCATAAAAAAATAGAAGGGGCATTTAAAATATAAAGTGGCCCTGTAAAATGAACATCATCATTTCCCACAGAGTGGTACACATCCCACAGGTGGCACGTGATTATTTGGGGAAAAAATTATTTATTATATTATCATGTAATATCCAGATTTATGTGTTTCTGAAAAACATAACTAAAACTCAAACCCCTAATATAAAGTTTTCTTTTAAAATAAAGTTTTAAAATAACCTTTCAGAAATAAGCTTTTATAATTTTTTTATAAGTAGACAGTACAAAAGGCAAGCAGAAATTGGGGAGGTGGCATGGAAATGACTGAGGCTTGGGAAACACTAGCCAAACTGTAACCCATATGGTACAAAAAGAATTAGGAGCAAGATAAGTAGTCAAGACAGGATCTTTGAAGGCAAAAGGAAAACAAACAACTTAGATGATTGCAAGGAGGGTGAAAAAAAGGTAAAAAAATAATGATAATAACCCCTAAATGGGATCATTTAATAATTGCTCTCTTTTGGCAATCTTCAAACTAGCTTCAGCCAAGGATGTGTTGCTGCAACTATCACTCTATGATGGATCTCAGAGATAAGGGCAGTGATTTAATATTTAAAAATCAGGTTAGAATTTCCCCCAGTGATGTGTTCTTCATTTCCTCTAAGTTAATTGAAGACTCTGTTCTCTCCATCCCAACCCACCTACAAATAAGCAGACATCTTCTCACTCCAGATGATACACTGTGATTACCAACACAATTCCTGATGCAATCCTAGATGATCTCAGAATTTTCAGCATAGGAACAGGATAGATAGTTTCCAGTGCCAGCATAGTATCAAATCAAACAGCACCCTCTCCTATATAAAGAAACTGGTCTTGTGATGAGGAAACTAAATGTCCTATTTCTGTTTTTATTAACCTTTACAATAATATCATGCATGTTTTTTCAGTTGGCTGATAATAATATTAAGATTAAGTTCAAGGCCCAATAGACTTCACATACATTGTGTCACGTTGGGCTTTTAATGACCTTTGGTTGAAGCAGAGTAGATGTTTTTAGGGGAACTGAGGTCCAGATGGGTTAAATGGCTTAGCTAAGGCCCCGTGACTAGCTGATGGCAGAGTGAAAACTCAGGGCTGCTAACTCCTTCTCCAGGAATTTATCCACTGCACCCAGCTGTCTAATTGAATTGGCCTGCCGTTGGCACTGTATGGACACAGCCTTGGATGACATAATTGTCTGTAAAATATTTCCTCAGATTTCCATTACCACTGTTTATGGTGCCTGATCCTTTCTTCGAGGTCAAAAGAGAAAAAGAAATTATTTGCCAAATCAGGCTTCTAATTCCCCTGCTATGATCATCATAGAGGCATCATAATAATGCCTCATAGTTGTACACTTTACAAAGCACTTTCACTCATATTATGTCGTCCCAGCAATCCTGTTAGGTAGGAATTATTAATGCAATTTTACAAATAAAGAAATTGAACCTAAGTAGCAGCTAGTGTTTAGCCAAGCCAGGATAACACAGGTCTGAACCCCCTAACTGCAATTGCAGCTATCTTTCCACTGCACTAGCAGCCCAAGGCATCACGCAGAGCTAGGTTCCTTATCTTAACAGCTCTCATCAACCGCCACTGCCCCCAAACAAAATGCATTTGTAAGGGAGGGTGTTTGCTGATGGGTACAGAAACCATTAGGTACATGCTGGCAAGAACACAACAGCTTTTCTGGGCTTTTCCAGCCTCATCCCTAACCAGGATCTTTCTTGAGGGTTCAAACTACAGATTTGGGCCTGAGAAGATGCTATGAACATTTCTATAAGATAAGGGAAGAGCTACCCCAACAATATATAATATAAGGAGAGTGACTCATCTTCGCAAAAAGATACATTAAGACACATAAACAATGAGACTTAGGGGAATACCGTGTGCCTATATTCATGTATCTCAGTTTTTCATAATAAACATGCTCCTAGGACATGTGTAAATTCAAATTTGAACAAATCAAATCAAGTTGCAGGCTCTTGCTACTTAAGATACCCTGTTTGGCTCTTGTGTTTTCATTTTCAGGTGTGAAGCTCACGTTTTTGAAGTACTGACCTCCTAACCTGGCAATAGTCTTCAGAGTTCCTAACCAGCTAACTCTGCATTAATAAGCCACAGCTTAGGCAATTCTGCTTATTTCATTGCTTGACAGACAACTCCCCTTTTAAAGCCTCACGAAGTTTGGTTCCTTTGAATCTTTCACCACATTATCCAGAAATTGATTCAGTAATGTTTCATAGCAGATAACAGGTTTGTACCCAGGCACACGGTCACTTTTAAAATTATGTAATGATATTTCACATTCACCTGAAAGAGCCTCAGTGCTTTTACCAATCCACCAACTTCATTCTTCAAGGAGAAAACAACTGCTGTCTTGCCACTTTCGGTAGCAGCTTCACGTTTGCTGCTTCCCTTGTTGCCTTTGTCGTCATTTTTGCCAGAGTTAGGTTTATTTAGCTTCAGGAATGTCGAAGCATAATAAAACAAAATATTAGTTAGGGTTCCAGAATCCTCCGTAATTAGATTTTTCCCATACATGTCATTCATAAGCTGGAAGCTCCACCAATCATACAAACTTAAGGTGAAGTTGCCGTGTCACTCATAACTTTCAGTCATAAATATTGGTCTAATTTATTCTGAGACACTATTTTCCAATGGTCTAAGACATCATCTAGTGGTTGAAATTAAAAGGGGATCAGATTTGCTTCACTTTAATAGCAACAAAAACCTGACTGTCGTAACGCCTGCAATATCATATATGAAAAATTCCTGCCTTTCTAGGATTATTTTACAGCACAAAATTTGATCTCTTAGCCTCGTTGAATCCTATGGAAACTATATTAATTACTAACCATATTAAAAATAAGATCAAACATATTTTTGAAAATAATTTTAGTTTCAATTAAATTTTAAAAACAAAATATCGATTTCATTCCAAAATATGTCAGCACATGCCCAGAAATTAATGGGTAGTATTACTTTCTTCAGTTAGATCCACATTGTCAATGTGAATCTGCCTGCAAAAGTTCAGCACAGACACATGTATAACTAACTCTAAGGCCATCTGTGTCAGAAGATAATATTTGAGAAGTGACTATTAAAATTCAGTGACAAATAAAAGGAAAAAAGGAGAAAGGCAGGAAGGAAGAAACCTGGCCAGCTAATTATTAGGGGCAAACAGTAAAAATCTGAGAAACTGAAAAAGATTAACACTTCATTAGCCACTTAAGATTTTATATTGCCTGATGAAGTAATGTCTATTAATCCTGCTGGCTAAAGAAAAAAATGACAGATTCCAGTAACTCAGGTCACATTGCCAGAAATGCAGAATAAAAAGCTGGAAACTTTATTTAGGAATAGAATGGGAGGAAACAAAACAAAAACAACAAGCTGGAAACTTTCATTTGACAGACAATGCAAAATTATGTGGTCTGTTTTATATTCTTTATATGCAAATACAGCATTGGGCAGACATAGAAGTAACTCCTGGCAAATGGTGATTTAATACAATCGTACCAATCTACTACATCCTCATGAAACTGAGAAATGTAGGTTTGCTTTGGGACCCAGTGAATAGTTATCTGCCATTGTCTTCTTCTGATTTCTCTACTGGCTTTATTTTCACACATCAGTATTGCCTTACTCACTAGATTTATATATAATAGAGATGGAGATTTTATTATTTATGACTTGAGGGAGGGAAGAAGTTTATGCAGACATTGACATTTGACAGTATGTTTAGTCATTAAAAGCTCAAATGTCTCAGTGTTCTTAACATCTGCCTCCTCCTCACCACACAACACACAGATCTTGCATACAGAAGTAGCATTTTTTATATAAAAGGGTCATACATTAACCATTACCCTGAGCTTACTTTGTTTTCCTTCTAGCAGTTAATTATGACTTCAAAACTCTTCATTGTAATATCTCATCCAAATATTCATGATATTTAAATGTTAAAAAATCTATTTACATTTTGGCCTCATTTTTGCAAATTGATTTAAATAATTCTACAGAAGTTGCCATGTTTACTTTTCAACATTTTTATCAGTAATAATATGTCAGTCCAACGCAGCCCTCTGGCACATATTTGGAGCTACGAAATTAAAACAGATGATTCTATGATACAGACTGAATTGGATTTGGTTGATAAACTCTGATAGTACAGTAATAAAATACCATTTAATATTTTTAATGACTAGGACCTGGATACATTTTTATTTCGTGGTTTTTATTAAATCCCATGACTACTACCTGAAAGCAGGATCTAAAATCCTGCAAATACTGCTTTTTTATCCTGTAGATATTATAAACATAAAACTCCCTTAAATACTATAGCAAGTGGTGTATTGCTTTCATTATTCCATCAAGTAAACTGAAAAAAATTGAGCAATGTGAAACACAGAAAAACTTTTGAAAGGAATCCAATCTTTCTTTTATTCCAATAACCTGCACCCATAACTAAGAAGAGAAAATAATAGTTCTATGTTTAAAGACCAGGCTTTGTAAACTGAAGGGGGTGTAGGAGACACAATGATCTTCTGAAAACCGTGGAAATTTATTTAATTTGTTCTCCCTACTCCTCCTCCTCATAATAAACGGCTTTTCAAAATTCTTCACACTCCATTTTTTTTTTTTTTTTTTTGGCTGTAGATTTAAGACATTGATTCATACAATCTCTCATTCTTAATGTTCAGGAACTTCTTAACTCTCTACTTACAAACTTTGCGGAAAAAAAGTTGAGCACGCAGTGATTGGCACACTCGCTTTACTTATGGAGAGAAGAGGAAGACTGGAGGCAGACAGGAGGAAAGCAGGGTAGACAGATTATAAAGAAGGAGAAATTTGAGGTGTGCGTGCTTACACTACAAAAGGGATTCATATGGTGAGGAGAAGATGGTCACACCCTAAAAAATAATTCTCCATAGTGCCAGGTACGTAGTACTCACTGTTGAGCTGCCAAGTAGCTGATGCTCTTCGGGCACTGCTGAATCCAGGGAAAACCCTCTCCGTGCCCAGTATTTACTGGAAAACATCATCATTGCTGGCTGCATGGATCCCGGTGTAATATTCTTTCTCTGCAGCAGGGGGTACTAGAGGGGCAGTAGCAGCGCTGGCGGAGATTGAGAGGAAGGGGCGTGCGATCAGCTGCCTGCTTGGGGCGCTGTCCAGAACCCTGGTGCTGAAGAGCAATGCGAATCCTCCCATCCCCGGGCTCCTTTATATGAATGACTGGAGACTGATGCAAGACTGATTAGAAAGAAACTCATTTCTGGTTGCCGATGGCCACAGTCAGATTACAGACCTGAAGCCTGGGGTTATCTGTGCTCATAGTGTGATTTGTTTCATAGGTCGAGTAGCTTTTTGGGCGGGGGTGGTGGAGAACAATACATAAGGGGGTGTTATTTGTACAAGAAACCATCTATCCTCTGACGTTAGTTCTCTCATCTCTCAAGCCTGCCACTGGCAAGTTAACCTCAGTCTTTAAGCAATTGTGAATTCAAAGATTTTGTGCTTTCTTTCCAAAATTAGAAAAATAATTTAAGAAAGATCAGCACTGCTGAATGCTTAAACCATTTTACGGATTTTTTAATTTTTAATTTTTATGGATAACTAATAGTTGTACACATTTATAAGGCACATGTGATATTTTGACACAAGCGTACAATGTGTAATGATCAAATAAGGTAATCAAGATATCCATTGCCTCAAGCATTTATCATTTCTTTTTGTGTTAGAAACATTCCAATTCCACTCTTCCAGTTATTTTAAAATACAAAAGAAAATAAATTATTGTGCTCCCGAACACTAGATCTTATCCCTCCCATCAGCATATTTTTTTTACTCATTGACCAACTCCATTTTATGTTAATAAGCTTTTTCTGACTTGACATATTCTAATTTTGTGCATGCAAATGTGTGAGTGTATATATGTGTAATGGCTTTCATAAAAGGGCTTCTTCTTAATCCTGTGATGCCTCTATGCAGAGTTATATGGAGGAAAATGTATTGCAAAGGAAAGGTAAGGGTTCAATTTAGCCACATGTAGATTACATATAGCTCAGATACTAATCCTGGAATCTTCCTTACTAAATGAGAAATAAAAGGAAACTAGATTCCCATATATCAGCCATTCATTTTAATACTCTTGTGGTTTTTCTCTCTACTGGAAATCATGGAAATTTAATCTTTGACATGACCCTTTCATATAAAAAGTGCTACTTAAATATACGAGATCTGTGCGTTATGTGGTGAGGAGAAAGCAGAGGTTAAGAGTACTATGACATTTGAGCTTTTAATGACTAAACATACTGTCAAATATCAATGTCAACTAGATCAAATCCAGCAACTTGACATGCATAGATTAATCAATATTCTTACTATTCAAACCTTAGAAAGTCATAAAATTCACCAGGCCACAGGAAAATGTTACCAATCTCCTGAAGAATGAAAAACTCTTGACCAAATGTGCTTGTTTGACTGAAAATCTAAACAAAATCTGGTGCTGGCACTGCTTGTCTATATAGAAAAAAAATTTCAAAACAAGTCGGGATGAACTAATATTGACTGAAGTTTAATTGTTTCTGGAGTCTTGAAGAGACATAATTATTAATTGATCTAATTCTGAAAATATTATTTGGCTTACATTTTCTGTAAGGGTCAGCTCTAATCAGCTAATAGGAGAAGCAAGTTTAAATAAGGCAAATGAACTAATGACAATAATAGTAGCTAATGTTACTGAGATGTAATGAAAGAACCAGAGATGTGAAGGGATAAAATCCACTAGATAGTGTCCCTGCTTGGATGTGGAAATGAGGGAAAAAAAGATATTAAAAGTAATTTATTTATAATATATATTTAGAATATTAAAGATTTAACTACTTTTGCTCACCCTGGAAACCCTATTAAAACAAGATAAAAAATTCCTTTTCAAGGTACACAAGAGTCGCATAAGTTGGAAAACAATGGCAACAAAAAATTAGCAGCTTGAAAGAAGAAAAAACTGATCAAAGGCTTTGCAGTCATGGGAAAGCTGAACCTTAAGCTATCAATGAAGAAGACTTAGAAGCAACGCACTTTACATGACAGAATACCCTAAAGGCTCAAATACCTCTGGAATTGAAGGTAGATGAGACTGAAAAAGAGTGGTTCAAAGTGTGAGAAGCAGTTAGACAAATCAAAACTTATAACAAAGTTACAATAATCAAGACAGTGTGGTACTAAGGACAGATATATAGGTAAATGAAATAGAATTGAGTGTCCAGAAATAAACCCTTACATGTAGAGGGAATTGATTTTCAACAAACGTGCCAAGACAATTCAATGGGGAAAGAATGATCTTTTGAACAAACTGTCCCGGGACAACTTTGGATATCCACATGCAAAATAATGAAGATGGACTTCTATTTCACATTGCACACAAAAATTAACTCAAAATGAATCACAAACACACATGTAAGAACTAAAATTAAAATTCTTAGAAGAAAGGATAGGAGTAAATGTTTTTGACTTTGGATTAGGCCATTGTTTCTTAGATAGGACACCAAAAACATAAGTACCTAAAGAAAAAAATAAGATTTCATCAAAATTAAAAACTTCTGTGCTTCAGAGGACACCCTCAGAAAAGTGAAAAGACAACCCACAATGTGGGAGGAAATATTTATAAATCATATATCTCATAGGAAACAGTATCCAGAATAAAAAATTCCTACAACTCAGCAATTAAAAAAACAGACCAATTTTTAATTGGGAAACAAAATTTATTTGAGACAGCTGGCTTTGTTACCCACAGTGGAGTGCAGTGGCACAATCATAGTTCTTGGCAGCCTCAACCTCCTGGGCTCAAGTGATCCTCCTGCCTCAGCGTCCCAAGCATCTGGGACTACAAGCACAGGCCATCACACCCAGCTAATTTTTTGTTGCTGTTGTAAAGGCAGGGTCTTGCTATCATGCTCTGGCTGGGCAAAAAAAAATTAATAGACATTTCTCCAAAGAAGATATGGCCAGTGCAAACAGGAAAAGGTGCTCTACATCAATAGTCATTAGGGAAATGCAAATCAAAAAACACAGTATGACTTCTGACCGACTAGGATGGCTAAAATAAAAAAGACAGACAATAACAAATGTTGGTAAAGAAGCAGAAAATGTGGAACACTCACACATTGCTGGTGGTATTATAAAATGGTACAGTCACTTTGGGAAACAGTTTGGTGGTTTCTCAAAATGCAAAACATAAAGTTACTGTATGACTCAACAATTTCACTCCTAGCTATGTGTAAAATGGTGTAGTCACTTTGAAAAAACGTTTGGCGGTTCCTCACAAAGGTAAAACTAGAGTTACTACATGATTCAGCAATTCCACCCTTAGGTATACACCGAAGAAAAATGAAAATATACATCCACACAAAAACTGTACATGAATGTTCATAGCAGCATTATTCATAATAGCCAAAAATAGAAACAACTCAAATACTATCACCTAATGAAAAAAACAAAAAATGATACATGATAAATAAAATGTTATTTAGCAATATAAGGAAATAATGTACTGATACATGTTACAATATGGGTGAACCTTGAAAATATTATGCTAAGTGAAAGACGCCAGTCACAAAAGACCATGCATGTATTGCAAGATTTTGTTTATATGAAATGTCTAGAAGATGTAAAAAGAGATCGTTTTAAAAAGAGAGAGAGACACACACAGAAAGTAGATTAGTGGCTGCCAGGGACTGGAAAAAAAGAAGAGGTGGGGAATAGCTGCTAAAAGGTACAAGGTTTCTGTATGAAAATGAATTTTTATACAGAATTTATCACTAATAAAATTCATACAGAATTCATCACTAATAAAATTAAATATTAGTGATATTTACACAACTTTGTGAATATACTAAAAACCACAAAATTGTACACTTTAAGGGAGGGAATCTTTTGGCATATATATCATATCTCGATAAAGCTGTTATCTTATTTTTAAAAAGGAGTTAAAATTCCATATTCCCCTTGACTAAATAGCCAAGCCACCTCCTCTTTTGCCCCCAGGTAGAAAATTGAAGGTTATTCTCTGGAAAGGGTAAAACAAAGGGCCTCTGTACTTAGGAGCATCAGGCATAGTTGAGAATACGGGTACCATTCTGATTAAATGAATGTATTGAGGTAGTGAGACTCATGATATCATGACATGGAGACTCCCAAACCTCAGAAGTCTGACAGCCAGGCATTTATTCTCCAGCCAAATAAAGACAAAAAATATCTTTGGAGAATCTGGCAAAGGCAAGATCTTAAAACACACTGAAAGCTCAGATAATATTGAAAGCTCTGAACAAAATAATGCAAACAGATTACCCTGTAGGTAAGCTCACATTTGACAAGCCTCAATTTAAATATTTGGTAGAGAGTGTGGGGTTAGATTAGTGACAACTGTATATAAAATCAGCCAGTAAAAAACCTTGATAAGAATTAACTCCCCAAGAAAAATGAAAATTAGGGCTGAAGGGGAGCATGTCTCATTTGGGGATTACAGTTACGAAGTCATAACATAAGCACTAAATATTGACCTAACCAATATTATATCAATTATATTAGAAGACAGACAGATAAGAAAGTGTGTATGTGAATAATAGGGGCTGTGGGGAGAGGGTAAACAGCTAAATTCTTGTCTTCCAAGATGAAAAATCAATGGTTAATGCCTAGAGCTGAAAATCAAAGTAGTAGCAGCATACACATATTACAGCATTGGGACATATGGAAGTAAATACCACAAGCATGACCTGACAGTTGAAAGTCTCGCCACTGGTGGGGGTTGGGGAGGGTAGGAGGATATGGATGGCGGGGAGAAGGAGAGGAACAGTTTCTCATAACAAAAAGTCTTGTGGAAACCATGTACCTGTGTGATATTGATTACAAAAATATAAACTTTAAAAATACATTATGCCGGGCATAATGGCTCAGGCCTATAATCCCAGCACTTTGGGAGGCCAAGGCAGGATGATTGCTGAGGCCAGGAGTTTAAGACCAGCCTGGGAAACATAATGAGACCCCATCTCTACAAAAGACAAAAATAAAAATAAAAATTACTAGTGTAATGGTATGTGGCAGTATTCCCAGCTGCTCAGGAGGCTGAAGCAGAAGGCTCGCTTGAGCCAAGGAGTTCAAGGCTGCAGTGAGTTATGGTCATGCCACTGCACCCTAGCTTGAATGACAGAGCAAAACCCCATCTCTAAAGTAAATAAATAAATAAATAAATACTGCATGGAAATAAGACATTTTTAAAAATAAAACTAAGTTTAAATCTTCACTCTGCTATTTGCCTACTTATGCTTAATCAGGACACATTACTTCACATTTTTCAGCCTCCATTTCTGTAATAGTAGGGCAATAATATCTAAACCTTATAGGGCTGTTATGCTGATTGTATTGTATATGTATAAAGTGATTAACATGGTGGCTGGCAGATATTCGACACTCAAAGTGTTAATTATCTCCCTATGCCTCATTGATTCTGAAGCCAGAGTAATATAAAATTGAGCATTGGTTTGCAATATTTGACAGAAATTTAAGAGACGTGGATACCTAGGTTTTAATGAGGTGGTTGCCCTCATAATTCATGATAAGTAAGAAGTCAATAGTCACAAGGTAAGCCAACAGAAGTGGCTTGGATCAAGCAGCTAAAGAGGCTAGGCATCAGGAAGCGAAAAATTGGGTGGGAAAATATAAAAAGAGATACTGTCAGATAAGGAGACCTCCAATATAAGATCTTACAGGTGTAAGAGGGCCATGTGATCATGAATGGCCATGACGGCAAACAGCTGAGATATGAAATAGGGGTCCACAAAATTAGGGAAGTTTTATATTAAGAACACCAATGAGTCCTCAACATAGGTATTTGTTGTCATTGAGGAAAGCAGTGAAATGAGAGAAATACTATAAACTAGTCCTTAAAACACCTGGAAAAATGGAAATGGCTTCTGAGAGGCTGTAGCCCATATGAACAAAGAAATGAAAAAGGCAATATAAATAAACTAAGACAACCAAGGGGATGCTGAAGCATCCATGGCCCACAACTGGAAGAGACCAACCTATCCACACCTACCAATTTCCATTTCATAGACAGAAAGTGAGAGGCCTGAGGACTCCTTATTTCTTCTCCTTCCCTTACCACTCACACCCACCATGCTGGCCAAGTTAGAAGCCAGCTGGAAATGCAATGTCGTGAAGAGAAATCTAGGCTTCAGCAGTGCAAAGAAATGTGTTCGGGAGAAAGAATGGAAGGACATGAGTAGACTTAAAGTAAGGGAGAATTTGCCTGGCAACACCCCAGTGTGAATGGAGAAAGCAGGTGTAAAGTTATTAAAGGATAGATATTGGATGTGAGAGTTTGGAGATACTCAAAGCAAAGTGAGAGTTTCAAGATTGGAATTCGACAAAAAGTCTGATTCCTTTTCCTTTAATAATTTGTCCTTTAGGTTTTAAGCCATCATTCCAGTCTATCAAGTATGTGTCACAAGCAAATTTGGTGCATGTGCTTACTATGCTTAAATTCATGTTGAACAAGGCAAGAGAAAGGGCTGACCTTTATATTTATAGCACACAATCAAGCTCACAATTAGTTTGGCTGGATTTTTTTCCCATCAACTTTGTCTTCTAGAGATTATAGGGTATACTTTGGTCTTCTTGGCAGCAATTGTTCTCTATTACTACCAACTGCTCCTAATTTTGTCAAATTAACCACATGAATATCATACCAAAATAAGTTTATTGCCTATCTAAGGTGCTTCCTTGATTTAGTAGTATTGTAACTTATCAGTAAAAGGAAATGAAATAAGCATGCAATTTTTTACCTTTAGGAAACTCAAGCAGACTCCTCCATAACACCATTTTATTTTCAAGATATGCACAAACCAACATCTCTCCTGACTTTGAGTGAAAAGCCTTGATTATTAGTCTCAATAGTCAATATGAGTGATACACTGTGCTCAGATGAAAATTTCTGAAAATTAATACTCAAGTGGCTTTTAGCACTTCAACTCATATTGTAACAGATGGTGTTTATAACACAAAAAAGTATTTGTTCCTGCTGATTACTCTCAAATACTACATAAACTATCATTTTGAGAGGGAAAAAGGATAAACAAAGAAAAATTGCACTGAAACTTTGCATGAAGGCTGTGTCAACCATCTAGACATGCAGATAATACAATCTGACCTGAAATCAAGCAGGACAATTTGGTATCAGAGTCTGACCAAATTGACCTAATGTTGAAGCATAACCAAAAACAGCTGTCCACAATATTAAGCATTAATTTGTTGCCTAATAAAATGTTCACTGACTGTCAGACACCATAATTTCCCATACTACTAAAAATGTTTAATGCAGACATGTCATTTTTAATTTTGATTATTTATTGACTTGAGGGTGATCAGACTTCATAAATAAGCAAAACATAAGCTGTATCTTACACTCATCTTTCATCATTTTTAATAATAATTTTTATAAAGGGGGAATGGATAAAAGGCAAGCATATCTAAGCAAATATGAAGAAAACTGAAGCATAAAAAGAATGGTGATTTATGGTGGGGTCAGTGAGGCTGTGGCTCAGAAGAAACCAGAATACACAGTTCAGATTTGGAGTCAAAATGACCTCAGTCAATAGAAAAAAAACCAATGGGTGCCTCAAGGCTCTATCTGTAGGATAGTATGTTTGGGGAGGAAAAGCAAACCATGTAGCTTTAAGATTCAAAAAGATAGTTTGTGGCAGTATCTATTTGGTTGCCATGAAATAATAATGATAGCATTTATAAGTGCTTTATCATGCCCAGTACCATATTAGACATTTTATATGTACTCCATTTACTCCTCACAACTGAGGTAGGTAATATCCTCATCTACAAATGAGAAACTGAGGGCTGAGAGGCCTGGTCACAAAACTAAGAAGCAACTGAACCAGGTCTCAGACCCATGACGGACTCAATCTGTGTTCTTAGTCTAAGCTTTTTGTTTTACTTCATAAGTAGACATTTTCTAATATGAACAATTCAGTTTGACTAAATTATTTTCTGACATTTGACTTCCAAAGCTTATAGAATAAATTTTATATTCTTTGCAAGAATATAAAGCACCTTATAAAGGTGACCCAGGCATCCAGACTCCACCCTGAATTCACCTTGAACTTGAGAAAACAAGCCCCTAAAGCAAGTTGTATTATTTGAAGTACCACCTATCAACACGGCTCACATTATTTGAGTTTACATGGGTATACAATTCTAAA
Organism: Homo sapiens; assembly: GCF_000001405.40. NCBI lineage: Eukaryota > Metazoa > Chordata > Mammalia > Primates > Hominidae > Homo > Homo sapiens. The sequence goes on along the minus strand of NC_000012.12, from coordinate 71,930,772 downwards.
TTGTGGCCAAGAAACTTTGGGTCAGTGATAGCATATAAATTATAAGAGAACAAGAATAAAAATAAGGCATATAAAACTTCTACTTTTTTTTCTTCTTCTTCTTCTTTTGAGATGGAGTCTTGCTGTTGCCCAGGCTGGAGTGCAGTGGCACGATCTCGGCTCATTGCAACCTCCACCTCCCCGGTTCAAGTGATTCTTGTGCCTCAGCCTCCCTGTTAGCCTGGATTACAGGTGTCCGCCACCACACCCAGCTAATTTTTGTATTTTTAGTAGAGACAGCGTTTTGCCATGTTGACCAGGCTGGTCTTGAACTTCTGACCTCAGGTGATCCACCCACCTCAGCCTCCCAAAATGTTGGGATTACAGGCATGAGCCACCGTGCCTGGCGGCAGTTTTTTAAAGCAAGCTTAACAACGAAGACTGTATTTTTTAAAATCCATGGTGATGCTCTTAGACAATGTGAGACTTTAAGGAAAACTCAGGAAACTTAGGAAATTAAAATATGAGTGAACCCTGGACCAAGGCTAGGCCTCTTATGGATCCACTCGGTATTGTGAAGCTATCAAATACAATATTTATAATTCAAACCTTCTTACAGAATAAACTCTCTTCTAAACTTACTTCTTTATGTCTAATTCTGAGGGGTAGAGCTGAAGAAGGATGTGGAAACCTCAGCAATCCAGACATGGGAAAAAGTGTCACAAAATCAAATTCAGAGTGACCCATAAAAATGAGAATTTCTGTGGTAAAGAATCTCCTTTTCTACAAGTGTTGTGTATGTGTGTGTGTGTGTGTGTGTGTGTGTGTGTGTGTGTGTTGTTTTTTTAAAGGAAGTTGTATTCTTATGTTCAGAATGATTCAGTTGTCCTGTTAGGATTAAGGGGAATACATTTGGAGAAAGAATTTTTTTTGGTGGGAGGGCAGATAGTCATCACCTCAAGCACTTATCGTTTCTTTGCATTAGGAACATTCCAATTCTACTCTTTACTTTGAAATATACAATAAATTATTGTTAACTATAGTCACCCTGTTGTGCTACCAAACACTAGATCTTATTCCTTCTGATTGTATTTTTATACGCATTAACCACCCCTTCTTTGTCCCACCTCCCCACCACCCTTCCCACCCTCTGGTAACCATCATTCTACTATCTCCATAAATGCAATTTTTCTTAGCCTCCACATATGAATGAGAACATGAAATATTTATCTTTCCATGCCTGGCTTATTTCAATTAACATGTCCTCTACTTACATCTGTGTTGTCACATCAGAATTTTATTTTTATGGCTGAATAATATTCCATTCTGTATATGTACCACATTTTCTTTATTCATCTGTTGATGGATGTGTAGGTTGAGTCCATATCTTGGCTCTTATAATCATGCTGCAATAAACATGGGAGTACGCATCTCTCTTGGATACTCTAATTCCCTTTCTTTTGGATGTACACTCAGCAGTGGGATTGCTGGACCATATGGTAGTTTTTTTAGCTTTTTTTTTTTTTTACTAACTTCCAAATTGTTCTCCATGGTGGTTGTACTAACTTACATTCCCACCAAGTGTATGAGAGTTCCCCTTTCTCCACATCCTCTCCAGCATCGGTTATTGCCTTTTGATAAAAGCAATTTCAATCGGGAAAGGATTCTAGTGTGTCTGACTGATGGCTTCAGAATTCTGCCATCTGAACTAATTGACCACATTCTTATTCCTTAAATTCCATCCCTAAGATGTGCCTTTGCCAAGACAACCCATCCACTATGTAAGCTGTAGCTTATGAAGCGCTTTTCAGGTATGAAATGTCAATGAAAAGGATTTTCTCCTGTCTTCACTTGTCAATAAAACTTTGGCAAAAGTCATTCTCCACAGAAAGTTCAAAGGTTAGTTTAGAAAAACATTATTAGTAGGATGTGGAGGAAGCTAGTGAGAACTATAGTTTCTCCTCCTTTAAGAAGTCATTAGCTTTTACACAGAATGCTTAAAAGCTCTGTTAATCAAAAAAGAATAATTTGTCCCAAAGTTATTCAAAAGTTGAATAACTTTGGGATAAATATTTGAGCAAGTTTTAAAAATTCAGCTTTTAGACTTCACTACTTTACACCTTGATGTGCGAAAGAAGGAATAGCAGATGTCCATTTGGGGGAAGAAGTGTGTAAAGGGACATCTATGTGTTTATAATAGTATTACTTTTAAAAGTACAAAAACTAAAAGAACTTACATTTCACTCCAAAAACTTAACAATTTAATCTCTATATAATCTATTAGGGTTACATGCTGTTAACTTTTTTTTTTTAAGAGATAGGGTCTTGCTCTGTTGCCCAGGCTGGAGTGCAGTGGCACCATCATAGCTCAATGTAACATTAAACTTCTGGGCTCAAGCAATCCTCCCGTCTCAGCCTCCCAAAGTGCTGGGATCACAGGCATGAGCCACCATGTACAGCCTAAATACTGTTAATTTCAAATGACTTACTTCCTAGTCAGCAAATACTACATTTGGCTCATTTAAGACTTGACTTAGCTAACAAAACATGTGGCCAAAATCTTTCGGTACGTACTCCATATTCGTGCCCCTGACAGTGACTGTAGGTAGCATGCAGTGTTAATGCTGACATTCAGAAGTACCTTGATGGCTCTCCTACTGGAGAGCAACTTGCTTTCTAAAGTGAGTCAGTTACACCAATGGAAGGGATTCTAGTACCTACATGATCAGGGAAAACAACACTCAAAGCCATAGAAAAATAGCTCTATTTCTATTTTTAAAGCAGTCTACCAACCTACTGTACTGGGTCCTGTGCTTCCAATCAGACTAGTGTGATATTGGACACATTATTGACTGTCACAGTAAAAGTCCATCTTAGAAGTTAATAGGTCTTTTTAATTTAAAAAGCTAAGCTAAACTGACTGCTGCTCATTGATCACAGCAAAGCTTACTGGAATTTCTTTTCGTTCTGTCATCTTTTGCAGAGAGAGGGGGTATGTGAGGGGCAATATACTATCTAGATCATTTGAGAGGGAGAGGCATACTTAATAGTTCACTTCCTATTATTCTAACATCCTGATTTCATCAATAGGGATTGAATCACATTAGGCAAAAATGATAGGATTCTTGATTCCTGATCGTTCTTAGAAGACTTTTGTTTACAATCACTTCTTTTAAACATTGATTTCATAAACAGTGTAATTTCCCAGGTGGCTGAAAGAGGTGCTGTGGATATTAAAAAAGAGTGTGGATGTCCAGTACAACCGCAGGCACTCCCCCAACCTTTCTATCTAAGGGTGACACACCATTTTTCCCTGTGTCAAGATGCATGGCCTGAAAATTAGAAGCCTGCATACAACAATGGGGAAAGCATCTGTAATTAGAAAACTCCTCAAAAATATACAACTTAAATTCCCCATATTGTAAGATCCCAAGGGAAGAACAGGCCAAATATGGTTGCATTATTCAAACGGCAGTGTATATACATATGTCCAAGTACAGATACTTAGTATCAGGTAATGAGATTAGGTACTGATGGAAGCCTTTCAGATTCCAATAATTTAATCTTGTTTCGTGCTCAGAAGTGACACAGAAAGCTTAATTTTCTTCAGAAAGTAAGAAATGAGAAATCTACATATAACAGGCTGAGCTGTCATCACTTTTTACTAAAAATGGCGACCGGAACTAGAGCAAATATCTTAGAAAATCAAGGGACAAGCTTTTAAAAATTAAGGGAATTGTCCACTTGGCCATAAATCAAAAGATTAACATATGAAATACAATATATAATGGTAGTGCTCTAACTTCAGAGGGGCTCAAGAAATCACCTGGATGCTTGTTAAAATGCAGATTCCTGATCTGACTTCCAAAGACTGATTCTGTAAGCCTGAAGTAGCACCTAGACATGTATCTTAATAATACAGACCAAGGATCTGGAAACAAGCATTCTGAAGACATTTTAATTAATGGGAGCTCAGCACACAAAATCATTAGCATAAGTTAGACATTGTTACTATTCTCCTGTTAAATAACTTGTAACAATGGTTACCTACATTTGAGGAAAATAAGAGAACACTTTCAGAAACTATGTGACCTGCCTCCAAAAACATTCAGGTACATCCACAAGACTTTGCATACAGTGAGGTTCCTGGATCCTCTGAAAACCCCAAGTAAAGACGCCCAAGCTAAAATGATGTTCTCCTGGTACATATCTGCACGTAAGTCAGTTGAAGCTGTAGGTTCCTCAATAAACATTTAGGGTTACTTTATACAAACTGTCTTTAGTAATGGGCATGCTTATGTGAATTTCACATAAGAATTCTTCGGCATCTATAAAATTTCTTGGCAATGTCAAGTTCCTAAGAATCACTCACTATCTGTCCCAAAAGGCTGTTTTCTTACTGCTCAAAAAAAAATTTAGTCTCTAATCACTAAGACTAAAGTTCCTTATAAACAGATGAAGAATCTTAGACCCATGAAATTATTAAAATGGGGAGGTTCTTAAATGCAAAAGATTCCCATAGGTTCATGCCAGAATTGAAAATACATATGCTTTTCAACTTATATTGAGGTTATGTTCCAATAAACACATCATAAATTGAAGACATCATTAATCAAAAATGCTTTTAATACATCTAACCTACCAAACATAGTTTAGCCTACCCTAACTTAAACATGCTCAGAACACTACATTAGTTTACATTTGGGCAAAATCATCTAACACAAAGCCTATTTTATAATAAAGTGTTAAATATCTCATGTGATTTATAGAATATTGTAGTAAAAGTGAAAAATGGCTGTATGGGTACTCAAAGTATGGTTTCTATTCAGTGCACTGCTTTAAAGCCATCATAAATTTAGTTGAAAGTTTGTAAGTCAAATCATCATGTTAGATTGTCTGTACTTTTAAGTTAATGTTAGAAACTGAATTTTAACAACTTTACCACATAATACAGCACACAATATTTTACATGTTATAAGGGTGTGGACAGAGCATCTTGTGAAAACAAATAAACCTTTAAAAAACACTAGTAAATTTACCTGAACTGTGTATTTTAGCAATCTTAATGGCACAGAGTATTTGCTAACTGGACTCTGTGGACTGATTTAAGACTTCTCCTGGAACTATACTATACTATCACTTCCATATCAAAAATATGCTAGATAGAAATGCAGTTTAGTAAAAATTGTTTTAACAAGTAATTTTGTAATAAAACTTGACAGAAGTTCAACTTACTAAATGTATTGATAAAAAAAAAATCTGAAGTGGGTATCACATTACGCAGCAGGAACAAACTCCCAAAAAGTCACTGTCCAGGAAGAACAAGGAGGACATCAAGATGTTCTAAGCAATTTCCTGAATAGCAGGAAATGAAAGGCTGGAGATGCTGAGTTTTTGATCAGTTTATGTTCTTTTTCTGAATAGGCTTACTCATTATTAACTGATGAAAGATAACACACATAATATTAAAAACTAAACTCTAACGGTTCTACTGTCGTGATTGTCAGTTAATGCTCAACCAGGAAAAAAGTTCGTTTTGTTCCCTAACTTTCTTGGGGGAAAAAAGTCAATCTCTAGGACCATTTTAGAACTGCACAACTTTTTTCTCTATACTATTAGCATCAGTTGTAATAAGCTGCTTTACTGAGTCAAATAACTGTATCTTTCAAGGCAACACTGTGCCCATTTCCATGCTAATGAAAATTTTTTTTCAGTTATAAAAAGGATGGTTTTCATTTCCATAACTTATTCAGATTATCATTTTTTTTTTTTTTTTTTTGAGACGGAGTCTCGCTCTGTCGCCCAGGCTGGAGTGCAGTGGCGGGATCTCGGCTCACTGCAAGCTCCGCCTCCCGGGTTCACGCCATTCTCCTGCCTCAGCCTCCCAAGTAGCTGGGACTACAGGCGCCCGCCACTACGCCCGGCTAATTTTTTGTATTTTTAGTAGAGACGGGGTTTCACCGTTTTAGCCGGGATGGTCTCGATCTCCTGACCTCGTGATCCGCCCGCCTCGGCCTCCCAAAGTGCTGGGATTACAGGCGTGAGCCACCGCGCCCGGCCAGATTATCATTTTAATCATATAAAAATAAGAGATGAATTGAGGTCCATCTTGGATGTTTTTTCTTCTATTAAAGAATTAGCCGGGCACAGTGGCTCACACCTGTAATCTCAGCACTTTGGGAGGCTGAAGCGAGTGGATCACTTGAGGTCAAGAGTTCGAGACCAGCCTGGCCAACATGGTGAAACCCCATCTCTACTCAAAATACAAAAATTAGTCAGGCGCGATGGCACAAGCCTGTAGTCCCAGCTGCTCGGGAGGCTGAGACAGGAGAATCGCTTGAACCCAGAAGGCGGAGGCTGCAGTGAGCCAGGACTGCGCCACTGCACTCCAGCCTGGGCAACAGAGCAAGACTCTTTCTCAAGAAAAAAAATTTTAAAAAAGCAGACTATTTCTAAGTATAATTTAACTAAAAACACTACTTCAACTTCAGATTTATTTTAATGATATATACAGGAGTTAACAACTTACAATTAAAACAAAATCAGTTATGTTAATTCCACATAACTTAAAATCATGCAATACTGCATGGTAAAAACAACAGCTTTGTTCATACACAAAAATTATTATTTTGAAACTCATGAGACCATCTAGAAATTTTTCAAATAAACTTTTTGCAAGAGTATTTTATAAAAATTTAAACACCTGATTAATCAGTTAATGCATTATTAGGAAAGATAATAAACATTATTAGTAAAGTGAGGTTACAAGCAATTAATTTTAAAATTACACCAGGTACAGGGTTGAACATAATCTCATGAAATAAATGTTTAAGAAAATAGTTTTGAAAAAGATCTCATACTGAAGCCATGTTAAATTTTGATAAACCAGGTTATATAAATCAAGTCGTTTATTCAGTTAATGAAAATATGCCTAACCTTTCTTATACTCATAAATAAGTACTTATATATAATCTTTATATACAAGTGAAGAAAAGTTCAATGTAAAAAATATACTGCCAATCCACTTATTATGGTTGAAATATTTATCTACACATTAGACTGCATTGATGAAAATGTCCAATTTAAATCACATTTGACCAGCATAAATATTTAAGCTGAGTACTGTCGTAAACAATAGAGAAAAAAATCCTTTTATTTTTATTTTTTATTTCATTACTGGGTAACAATCTACTTCTCAGCTTAGAATGCTATAGAAAGCCTCCACATTTAATTTAATCAAATCTGAAACCCAATAAGCTTAAACAAAGTGAATGTTTTTCAAAGTGCATAATTTCCAACTCATCCACTTGCAATATTTATCCAATTCCAGTTCATCAGCAAGAAAATAAAATGTACTTGGCTATAAAAATACTGAGGAATGTTATCGAAAAGGAAAGGCTATTTGGTAGAAGTAACTACAAAAATAATTAGTTTAAATCTTTGTAAAGCTTTAATGTAAGAACATCAGTACACTTTCTTTACATAAACCTTAAAGCATGATCAATACCAAGATTTCAAATTTTCAACTTTCAAGTACTTGAAAAAGGGTTGCAACAAAGTGTCTCTTCCCAAAAAAGCAAGAACAGTGATCATGCAGGTGTTAATCTGCAGACATCTGAGGACACTGGTATCTGTGTTGGGCTGTCATTTCTGGCTCCACTGGCAGAGAGTGTAGGCAAGGCATTACTTTGAAATGCAGATGTAGGACAAGGAGTCATGACAACATTTTCGTCTTCACCAACGTCTGAATCTGGTGTTGTAACTTCACTGCCTTGAAGCCCAAGGATCTCACAGACTGCTTGTGGCAATTCCTGGATATGAAAAATCAAACTCAAAACCATATTTCACTACAGAGGAAAAATAACCACAAAGTAACACTTCTGTTTAAGACTACATTGATTCCAGAATCTGAGCATTTGTCCTAACAGTGTAAATGTCATGTACCCTTCTCACAACATTTTTCTCAGCTCCAAATGAAATGCTAACCACCTTTCGCCCTAAGTGGTTCTTGGATATCTTCCAAATTAGTCACTCTCCATCCCACCTCCACATTCCCACAAACATAGCATGTCCTAATATTTGGCATTTATCTCTTTCTACTTTTTGTAATAATATCTTTCTTAGATCATCTGTCTCTCTCAGTAAACAAAGTTCTTCAAGGCAAGAAGTATCTCATTGACATGCTTTGGAAGAGAACAGGTATCAAATAAATGTTTGTAGAACTGAACCAAGTAACAGTTTGGATCAATGAACAAATGATACAAGGACCAAGCAAGAATTTTCATAAAAATGCAAAGTCATAAGGGGTGCAGCAAACCAATGTGGCACATGTATACCTATGTAACAAACCTGCATGTTGTGCACATGTACCCTAGAACTTGAAGTATCAAAAAAAAAAAATGCAGTCATGGCCGGGCGTGATGGGTCACGCCTGTAATCCCAGCACTTTGTGAGGCCGAGGTGGGTGGATCACCTGAAGTCAGGAATTCTAGACCAACCTGGCCAACATGGTGAAACCTCGTCTCTACTAAAAATACAAAAATTAGCCAGGCATGGTAGCAGGCACCTGTAATCCTAGCTACTCGGGAAGCTGAGGCAGGAGAATCGACTGAACTCAGGAGGAGAAGGTTGCAGTGAGCCGAGGTCACGCCACTGCATTCCAGCCTGGACAACAGAACAAGACTCTGTCTCAAAAAAAAAGCAAAGTCATGAGGTGGGCACAGTGGTGTGCATGCACTGGTAATCCCAGCTACTCAGGAAACTAAGGCAGGAGGATCACTTGAGCCCAGGAGTTCAAGGCCAGCTTGGGCAACTTAGCAAGGCCCTTTCTCTTAATAGAAAGAAAAAGCTAAAACACATCAAAAGTATACTGCTTTGGTTCAAATTCAGATAATACATCAAATTTGCCTTGTTTTAAAATAATTAATAACTTGACTAATATAAGTGAGTGACACAGGCTAAATAATATTGATTTAATTATTTCTGATTAGCATTCATTTTTGTTTAGAGATTCTGCATATTTAATATGACAGCCTATTCTGCATTCATGAGCTCAACTGGGTAATATATCATTGCTGAAATTCTACAGCCTCTTTGTTATAGAAATATTTTCATTACTTTTACCATTTTGCCTTATTATTAGCTGTTTCCTATCTGCCATAGTCAACTGTTTTCAATTAAGTGCTGTAAATCTAGAACAGCAAACAAAAAGCCAGCCAATACTTTGTGCCTGCCCTCAGCTTACTAAAGTTGCTATTTTATTTCCAAGAAGAAAAATCTTTCTTGATCTCAACCCACCAAAAACAAACAAATCTTGCAATTACTTGAAACACTGTATACCTTGCATTTTACCATCTGTAGAGAAATTGCTTCTGCCTTGCAGAGTATATCTTCCACATCAATTTTCATGGACAATTCATTGATATGCTAAAAAGTATCAACAAAATAAAATGATATCGAAACTGAATACACTATTATATTCTATTATATAAACAATTTATTACCAGTTATATTTCACTGCAGATAAAATCCTTAAAATAAAAACATTCATATACTACAAATACGTAAGAAATTCAATATATCTTTCTTTAGATTATTTCAAGTTTTAAAGCTAAAGACTAGCTAATAAGCTTATGGAACATTAAATCCAGCAGCTATTCCAAGTCTGATATCTCAAAGTTATAATCAAAAGACAATTAATTTTTGAAAAACTAAACTACATAAAAGAGCACTTGTTGAATTTCCTTTTCTTCCTAATTAGCCAGGTAAAAATAACTGGCCAATATGTATTTGAACTGTCATTCTCAGATAGTCATTCCTAGCACTGTTATTGACACAATTTAAGTTACTCAAGAGATTTAATAATGTTCCAAGGAAACGTTCTGTATATCAGGACCACCAAATAGAAAAGCCAGAACACTAAAATCTGAATTAAAGGAATAACTACCTTAAGTATTTCATTGAAGCCATAATGCTTTTCCATTATTTGCTGCTTTTCTGATTCCAGAATAGCACAACAGAGAAGAAGATGGAAATTTGTACATGGTAGTTCGGTCCACATTACCTATAGAAGGCAGAAGAACTATTTTGCAAATTGTATCAATTCTAAAACATTTTCCTCACAGATACAATTCTGAACACTGAATGACTTCTATGCAAAGTAGATGTTGCCTGTTTAGGGTAGCCCAAGGTTTTTCTAGCTAGGAAATGAGGGGAAGGAGAGTCTTACCTTCAGCTACAAAGTAACTATCATCGAGTTTATATGAATATGATATATTCTAAATGTGGCTCTTTAAGGTAACTATAGTAAGTAAATTACTGAGCCTAACCAGTATGATAAATGTTATTAATGCAGGAGCTACAGACACAAGGTTAAGGTGTAAGGGTTAGATGTATTTTCAATATTTTTCTGAAGTATCAGTTTCTCACTTCGATCTGAGAAAAGACTAAAGCTAAGTCCTGGAAATAAAAAAAGGTTCAGTTACACAGTACATGGAATCAGAAACACCCAGAGGTAGCTCTACATTCTAAATACGTAAAACCCTTGTATCACATTTTATCCCTGATTGTGACAATAACTGAATTAACTGCCCCAAATTTATAACCAAACATAGAAAACGCTTGATCAACAGCTCAGCTGTTCCTAAATACAGATAATATCCTCGAATTTAGGGTCTTAATTTCCCCCTGCTTCATGTACCTAATAATATATTTTCCACAAAGATAAAAACACCCACACAAACCATACCATGAGATCATACCCGAAATGTGTTTACTTCTTTCAAAAGGAGTAAATCAAGTTGAATAATTTTCAAACTAAACCCAATTGTTGAAAGTTTAATTACAATGCAATTAACCTCAAAGGTTTCATTAAAAGTTTGAATTTATTTAGTAAACACAGATTGAGGAGTTATTCTAGCTATGTGGTAATAATATTCTTAATTCATCCTTTAAAACCCATTTATGCCTGAGGATGCAATTTTTTGAATTTTTCAATCAGACCTTGGTGATGACCTTGAGCAGTAGGATATAAACAACTCCCACATGCTTAGCGTTCCAATAATGGAACACTAGGCATAAATACATTAACCCATTTTTAACCCCCAAATTAAGACACTAATTTAACAAAACTGATAAACATTTAAGTACGATTCCAGATAGAGACCATGTGGGTTTTACTTCTAATCTGAGAACAGAGGAAGTGAGCATAAAGTAATCCACTTTTAACTTGTAATCAGCACAATGCCTTGTCTAATGGTAGCACAGCCATCAATAGTATAGGAATCCATTTCCAGCTGTAAAAACCTCAGAGACCACTAGAGTTCCACTGTATAAAGTTGGATTTACAATCAAAATGGATTATCTCCCAATTCTTTCCTTGGAAGAATTTCTGTTATCCTAAGGTATGATCAATCATTATACCAGCATTCTATGAACAAGCACACTGGGCTGGACACAGTGGCATACACCTGTAGACCTGTAGTCCCAGCTACTTATAAAGCTGAGGCAAGAGGATTACTTGAGTCCAGGAGTTCGAGATCAGTCTAGGTAACATAGCAAGACCCCTTCTCTTTAAAAAAAAAAAAAAAAAAAGCACACTGATTTATTATTAGCAAATACTTTAGAAAATGTGAAATGATTTGGTTTTTCATTAAAGGTTGCCATGGAAAAATAAACACTGGGGATTACACATGGGGGGATGGTGTAAGGGAAACATGGGATGTAAAATTACCTATTGGGTACTATGCTCACTACCTGGGTGATGGAATCATTCACACACCAAACCTCAGCAACATGCAATTTACCTATGTAACAAACCTGCACATGTACTCCCTGAACCTAAAATAAAAGTTGAAAAAATAAAGAGTTGCCTTGGGTAAAAAATGGAACAAAAGGAGTACACCAAAAACATAAGAATATCCTCTATAACAGATGTGGCAAAGCCTCACATAAAGTCAAGTCTCACAAAGGAAGAACAAAGGCAGCAAATGGTCTAGAGCACTTGTTCTGGGATACCTCTTGGCCCCAAATCTCACAGAGATTGTGATTTGAAGAACGAAGCTCCAAAAGACCAAATATTCAGTGTGAAACTAATTTTTAAGAAGAGGCTACCAGTTCATCAGAATTTTGGAACATACTTGCCTTAGATATTTCAGTAAGGCTATCATAATTCATTTACACTCTACAGAATAAATTGTTTCTTTTCATAATAAATATCACATTTGCATAATAATTTAAGGACTTACCTCCCATAATCGAAGAATATCTAGAAAACTAAATTCCCTTTTGAATCTGATTAAAAGCCACCTGAAGCAAAAATAAAGGTATCCAGAGTCCTGAGATTCTATGCAGAAGAAAAAAACACACATATGACTTACTCTTATGCTAATTATGTCAGAATACAGTTACTTTTCTCTAACTTTCCTATGCATCTTAGGCAATTCAAGGCCCTATACATTTGTCTTCTACGTTAAGGAATCATTTCAAACTTGAAGGCTGACTTCTTTTTAAAAACTAACAAATAATACATTTTACGAATCAAGTTTAAGGCAGAATTATACAAAGAGAGTTTGGTTCCACATTTTTATGGAACCGAAGAAAGTGCAATAGAGTATATATGTCTTTAAGTTCTTTTTTATTGAGACAGTGTCTTGCTATGTCACCCAGGTCGGAGTGCAGTGGAGTGATCCCAGTTCACTGTAGCCTCAACCTCCTCGGCTCAAGTAATCCTCCCACCTCAGCCTCTTGAGTGGCTGGGACTACAGGCATGCATCACCACAGCCAGCATTTTTTTTTCCTTGTAGAGATGGGGTCTCACTGTGCTAGCCAGGCTAGTCTCAAACTCCTGGGTGCAAGTAATCCTCCCTCCTTGGCTTCCAAAGTGCTGGGATTATAGGCATGAGCCACTGCACCTGGCTTCTTTAAAGAGTTCTTTACATTTTTTTCTATGCATTACTCTACAATTTGCTGGGTATAGTTCTGATTCACTAAACTTACCTAAGTAACTGCAAAATCCACTGTCTAACAATCGAAGTAAGGTACTCAGCTGAATTAGCTGGGTCTTCATGCCTTGCATTTGTTCTTCAAAATTCTGATGCTTTAAAAGGAAATAATTGTTACAAGTAATATTTAATAAATATTTTATAGTACATAATGACTGATAACTAAAACATGATGTCTAAGGACAAATGCTGAACTTATACCACACTGGTAATCTTAAAAAATGCGTAACTAACCAAAAATCTAACGTAACACTAAAAGGGAGGGTAAAGAGAAAGAATCCTTGCTCTCAAAACTAAGGATTATTTTTTCCTCTATTCATTTGACTTAGATAAAGAAGAATGCAGACATAGCAACTGCAGACTGACTATTTATTTCTTACACAGCATAAAAGACTTGGTGAAAGAAACACACATTTGGGAAATAAATATTTATCAAATTCTTTCCATTGTTAAATATTCCTTCAAATTATACATAATAAAATTAATTTTAGTTTTAGTATGTATTTCATTTTAAAGAATTACTTTACATTGGAGAATCTGTAAAGCCAAAACCATTTTCAGGACAATACTAAAACATTATCTGGATTTCATACTTAAATTCTTTCACAAGTGCAAAGGCTGTATGATGTGTGATACTCCAAAAGACTGAACACAGAAGCAAATATGAAAATTCAGCTGTCTTCTATTAAACCAGACATTTTTAAAAATGAAAAATTTAAAACAATCTCTTGTGTCGGTAAATTTTTCATTAGGAAAGGTTACTTTTCATTAAAAAAAAGTGATCTATGTTAAGGTAGAATGTGTTGTTATTTAATGAATTAATAAATAAATGAATACAAGTTTCTCAGTATTAATTTTTCACATAAACATCAACAGATATAACCCACATAAACAAAAACTCTTTCAGGTCTTCAATAATATTGGAGAGTGTGAAGGGGCCCTGAGGTCACAAAGTTTGGGAACTGCTGGGGTTCATATGCTTTAAAGAAACTTCATAGTTGAGTAGACTCCCTACCAACACCTGAGTCAAGGGGCCAGAAGGCACCAAAACTGATGCTCTGAAAGGCTTCTTAAATGATTTGGATCCCTTTAACTCATATGTCCCGATCCCTCTGTGGTAACCTACCGCCCTAACCCTAGTGAAAGCCTTAGAAAAACATTTCCTCCTTCACACTTACTTTTTCACTTTTACAGTACAATAGTGCTTTATTAGAACTATCATATTAGAAACAATTCATTCTTAAAAAAAATTTAAGTCTATTAATTCTCAATAAGCTGTTTCTCTTTAATGAATTTTAAAAACCAGTTTATTAATAGACTAACTCAAGGCTTTAGGATATAGTTCCTCCACATTTACCAGAGAGATCTATAGAGAAGGGGCAGAATCAACTCTGATTAACAGGATCATTTTTGCTGTGACACAGTCAAAGACTAGAGCTGATCTGGGAATACCAACATGGCATAGACATTTGCTACCCACTCTGCTGTAAAAAAGAAACATGTCCATAATGACAGACACCATATTCGAAAAAGTGGTTACTCCTGGAGAAGGGAGAGTGGGATCAACAATGGATATACAAAGGGCTTCAAATGTGTCTGTAAATAAATGTGTCTGTATGGGGCAGGGGAGGGGGAGATGGAGAGGAGAAAGGAATTAAAACTATATGGCAAAATGGATGATGGGTATAACAAAGTTCATCAGATCACTTGTACTTTGTATTTCCATGATAATAGACAAAGTCTATGCCTAGACCTACATTAGATGCAAGTAAACATCAACAAAAGTAAATTTACAGACGTTAGGTTCAGCCACCACAAAGGTAGTACAAACTTACATGAAGTAAAGCTATAAAACAGAAACACAGAATCAAGAAACAGCAGCACAGATTTAGGGACATCAAACAAGGGCAATGCAGTGAAAAACAATCATACAGGTTATTTTGATTGCCATATATTTCCCTCTCATTCAAATATTATGAAAGAAAAGATGTTAGCAGACAACATAATCATAAGATATCTTTTTTAGAATAAAGACTAGAAAAATCCCCAGAACATCCTTAATGGAAAAGGCAAACACAGAGAGCATTTACTGTGAAAATGACAGAACAAAGAAACTGAACCTTCATACACAAAAAATGACGGACTGTAAAGTGTTTATTACACATGTTCAGAAGGTAGTCTTTACATATGAGACCTATATACACACGTCTGTATGCATGTGTGTATGTGGCATTATATGTCAATATATATTTACATGCCAATATTGGATTAGTTTTATTGAAAACTTATTGCATGATACTAAATGCAGTATGTTCATCTTAGTTGTGTTTTTTTTTTTTTTTTTAGAATATCTACTATAGCAATTTAAACTAATCACTGGGGAAAGATTCACATGTTTATTCTACAAAAACCCGTTGAACAACCTCATGTCAGGCATTAGGAAAATTCTGGTATGCTACCAGTGAAACAAGATATAATCCCTTTTATCAAGGAACATACTAGCTCTGGTGAAAAGAGGATAAACAACAAAAACACAAGGAAGGCAGACAACAGTTTTTATGTAATTAGTATCAGCTGTACAGACCTTTATAACAAATGCCTCAGGTTTCTAGAGCACTTGGGAGTAAATGGAACTAAGAAGGTAGACAAATCAATCAAAAAAGGAAGGAAGACAAACTATGACATTACCAAATTACTGCATTGATAATCCTTCCAAATAGTCAAAAAAAATTAATTTATGGCAAAAAACCAATTTGAATATTCATGAATTTAATGTAAAAGAACATTTTAAATCTATCAAATCTTACCAAGTATACATTTAGAAAAAAACTGAAAGAAGCAAAAACAAGTTGAATCTATGGACAAGAGATTTGGGGAAATAGCCACAAGCAGGGAAAATTTGAAGGAGAAAGAAAAATAGGCAAGCAAAAGGGAAAGAATAGAAGTAAAGAAAAAAGGAGAAGGGTACCACTTCCAAATTTCACATTTGTATCCCAGAAACTCTGAGTTAAACCCTGTATTACAGGAAAATATTTCAGATGGTTAGATTCAAAATGTTTATCCCTTGCAAGCAAGCCAGCCATTTCAATATCCAACATAAAGGCCCAGCATCCAGTATGTTAGTGTTATTTTGAAAAAACACAGCAACCTCTATGTAGTCAGGTCTTTGGACTTCATCTGCCTTTATCTAGTCTCACCCCTTCTGCTTTTATTTTTCTGAGATTGCTTGAAGAGACTTTTCTTTTATTTTCCTGTCAATATTCTCTGCACTATTATCCTAGAACTCTGTCTCAAAGATTTAACAATGATAATAGATAAAATGTTC
This sequence comes from Homo sapiens, assembly GCF_000001405.40. NCBI lineage: Eukaryota > Metazoa > Chordata > Mammalia > Primates > Hominidae > Homo > Homo sapiens. The sequence goes on along the minus strand of NC_000012.12, from coordinate 71,914,467 downwards.
TTTGTACTAACATGTATATATAGACAGTTCAATTCTAATAATCACATACTTCTGGGAAAATAACAATGAATTCCTAAGAAAGTGTCAGAGTTACAAATAGTTCAAACACATCTGGAGAAAAATCAGTTACTATAATGACAAAATTCAAAATCTTCACAAAAGGTAAGGATATTACTTGGCATGACTAAGCTTTATCTCTGAAACAGATGATATTAAAGTTCAACTATTCCACAAAATTGAATTCATCTATTTTATCAATATTCTGTAATGACACATGGCTCTTTAGTAGAAAATAAGCATTTACTGATATTAAATCCTGATTATTCCTATACTACAGGCACAAACTATTTCCTGTATTAAAAATACCACCAGTATTTCTAAGCCCTTGAAAGGCTACTAAAAAGAAAAAGTAACAAAAGGCATGAGGTAATTTTTTTAAGTTCCATCATAGTTGGCTAAATATAAAAATCAACCTTATACTATAAAATTATACAACTAAAATTTTAAAAATCAGTTTAATGGAAGGAATCTCTGTTCTTACCATTTGGTCCATGTAAGAGGCAAAGCACCAAAAGGCATCCACTTCATTTTCCATCACATATAAAAGAGGGGAAAGTAAATCACTCATTCCTTGAACATATCCTAAAAAGAAAAGAAAAAATCATCTCTGAAAACCCAAGTTTTATGTAACCTTCTGCAAGTTGTGCATATCACCACCATTTCGCTTAAAATTGTATCTTTCTCCTTTGCATTTAGAAATTGGTAGACACTGATGTTCACCAAGAAAAGAATATAAATGAAGAGGAGGAACTCTAGTCATAAGTAAGAAAGATGAGTTGTTTTAGATTGAGATGTCAAACAATATATAGCTTCCAGTACGTGTCTCAGTGCAGATACACTATCAAGAGTGGGTAATATTTTTAAAAATAATGTGCAAGAGCATCATGAGAAAGAAGAGGGGTGAAGAGATAATCCAGAGGAACATCAAATGTAAGAGTATACACTCAAAGACAGGTTTAAGAAAGACCAGTCAGAGAAGTAAAGAAAAAAATCAAGCGAGAATAATGTTGCAAAAATTAACAAGAAAGTTGCAAGCCCAGAGTGGTTAGCAATGCCAAACTACCATGAGTAAGCCACATAAAACAAGAACTTTGGGTTCAACTGCTTTAACAATCAGACCTTTAGATTCACATAACAGGAGTTACAAAATTAAGAGCCTCTTTTAAATAGTCATATCTACGTCCTTCTTTCTTTTTTTGTTACTCTCTACACCCAACCAATGCCAGCAACTGGGCTTAACCCAATCAATATTTTGTACCTAAAGTGACCACTTACCTACATGTCTCTTGATATTATTACAATTTCTCAATGGTGACAGTAATAGAGCCCTTGATTAAAAGAAAAACTAGAAAATTAAGGAGTCAGATCCCTCACTTAAAAATAAGAAAAAGTGTTAGTTTTACTTTTTCACCTGAACATGTCAAACTTCTTTTTTACTTCCTCTTATAAAACCCTCAATTATCCTTGTTTTACAATTTTCAAGACTTGAAAAATTTTCAGACTTAAGAGGTTCTTGAACCAATGAAGGGACACGAACTTATACTAAGCCTTTTTACTTAAACGTTATCATTCAACTTCGGTAACTTTTGTGTATTTATTAAAATCATGTAGAAATTTCTTTATTGGTAGCTTGGGAAGTCTGGAAAATAGTCTTTCATTTGCGAATCCAAAGTTTACATTTTTATTCACCAAAATCTATCTGCACTGAAGCCATGTAAAAGTAAATATTTAATGAAAGAGGGAGGAGATAGTTCTGCTATCATATAAATGATACATAATTACACATTACTCTGTTTTGGAGGAAAACTTTAAAAAATGATCTCAGAAAGCAGGTAAACTAAATCTCTTGAGAAAACTCAGATCAAACACACAACAGACAGAAGCACTCAGATCACCTCAGAATCTCCTTACAAATAAAGTTTCAGCTCAATTTGCTGTGAGCCTCTGTCCAATCATCTTACCACCACATCTTTCCACAGTCCTGTTAACCTCACTCTGTCTACACTGCACCCTGTGGGAAAATATAGCTCTACTCAATTTAGCATAAAAGGGCACGTGGGTTCTCATGGAGGACATCCAATTATTACAGTACCAGACAATGAAGTTACCAAGACATTTAGAGAAAAAAGCTAGACAAAAGTGACATACAACAAGGTATCTAAATTTACACAGATGGTTTCTAAAATAATGCACACTTTTAAAAAAAGAATAAGATAGATGGAAGACTAAATTGTTATCATCAGAACTTTCCTACCTGACACAGTGAAATCAATGACAAAAAATAAAGGCTAAACCAATTAAAGCATGAAGGAAATCTAATCTGAATTCAACAAAGTGCAAGAGTACTACGTTACTGAGCCTGACTGTGTATGATCTACATCAGAAATATTTCAAAGTGTGCTATTCAAAAGATTTACAAAGCACCCTTCCTCTCTTAAAAAGTGCTTTATTATTAAGTTATAATGAATAAAAATTCCTAAGAAGCCAATTTAATCCTTTAAGTCTTCAGCTTTCTTATGGAATCACTACATATTTCTTCTGTTAAGTCTTAGCTGAAGCAAGTTGTCAAATTAATCTTCATGTTCTGGTTGCCTTTAATCTATTTTATTTTTTTTATTTTTACAGTTTTTTTAAATTATACTTTAAGTTTTAGGGTACATGTGCACAATGTGCAGGTTAGTTACATATGTATACATGTGCCATGCTGGTGTGCTGCACCCATTAATTCATCATTTAGCATTAGGTATATCTCCTAATGCTATCCCTCCCCCCTCCCCCCACCCCACAACAGTCCCCAGAGTGTGATGTTCCCCTTCCTGTGTCCATGTGTTCTCATTGTTCAATTCCCACCTATAAGTGAGAACATGCGGTGTTTGGTTTTTTGTCCTTGCGATAGTTTACTGAGAATGATGATTTCCAGTTTCATCCATGTCCCTACAAAGGACATGAACTCATCATTTTTTATGGCTGCATAGTATTCCATGGTGTATATGTGCCACATTTTCTTAATCCAGTCTATCATTATTGGACATTTGGATTGGTTCCAAGTCTTTGCTATTGTGAATAGTGCCACAATAAACATACGTGTGCATGTGTCTTTATGGCAGCATGATTTATAGTCCTTTGGGTATATACCCAGTAATGGGATGGCTGGGTCAAATGGTATTTCTAGTTCTAGATGCCTGAGGAATCGCCACACTGACTTCCACAATGGTTGAACTAGTTTACAGTCCCACCAACAGTGTAAAAGTGTTCCTATTTCTCCACATCCTCTCCAGCATCTGTTGTTTCCTGACTTTTTAGTGATTGCCATTCTAACTGGTGTGAGATGGTATCTCACTGTGGTTTTGATTTGCATTTCTCTGATGGCCAGTGATGGTGAGCATTTTTTCGTGTGTTTTTTGGCTGCATAAATGTCTTCTTTTGAGAAGTGTCTGTTCATGTCCTTCGCCCACTTTTTGATGGGGTTGTTTGTTTTTTCTTGTAAATTTGTTCAAATTCATTGTAGATTCTGGATATCAGCCCTTTGTCAGATGAGTAGGTTGTGAAAACCTTCTCCCATTTTGTAGGTTACCTGTTCACTCTGATGGTAGTTTCCTTTGCTGTGCAGAAGCTCTTTAGTTTAATTAGATCCCATTTGTCAGTTTTGGCTTTTGTTGCCATTGCTTTTGGTGTTTTAGACATGAAGTCCTTGCCCATGCCTATGTCCTGAATGGTAAGCATTCTTATACACCAATAACAGACAAACAGAGAGCCAAATCATGAGTGAACTCCCATTCACAATTGCTTCAAAGAGAATAAAATACTTAGGAATCCAACTTACAAGGGATGTGAAGGACCTCTTCAAGGAGAACTACAAACCACTGCTCAATGAAATAAAAGAGGATATAAACAAATGGAAGAACATTCCATGCTCATGGGTAGGAAGAATCAATATCGTGAAAATGGTCATACTGCCCAAGTTAATTTATAGATTCAATGCCATCCCCATCAAGCTACCAATGACTTTCTTCACAGAATTGGAAAAAACTACTTTAAAGTTCATATGGAACCAAAAAAGAGCCTGCATTGCCAAGTCAATCCTAAGCCAAAAGAACAAAGCTGGAGGCATCACACTACCTGATTTCAAACTATACTACAAGGCTACAGTAACCAAAACAGCATGGTACTGGTACCAAAACAGAGATATAGATCAATGGAACAGAACAGAGCCCTCAGAAATAACGTCGCATATCTACAACTATCTGATCTTTGACAAACCTGAGAAAAACAAGCAATGGGGAAAGGATTCCCTATTTAATAAATGGTGCTGGGAAAACTGGCTAGCCATATGTAGAAAGCTGAAACTGGATCCCTTCCTTACACCTTATACAAAAATTAATTCAAGATGGATTAAAGACACAAACATTAGACCTAAAACCATAAAAACCCTAAGCTATTTTATTTTATACATTATGTTCTTTGGGGTATGTCATGGGTTGTAGGGGGTGGAATTAATGTACAAATTCCTTTTAATTAAAGAAAGATTAAATATATTTAAATTGGCATTTAGTGATCTCAGAGTCTGCAGTACAACTGAATGATGCATATCTTAATCAGCACCAGTACAATTTCTAAAGTACTTCCCTAAAATTACTTCCATAGCAAATTTGTTTCAGTGTAGGCAGTGGGGGGCAGGCGAGAAATGAACACCTTATCATCCTACTGTACACTTGCTTACACCAAAAAGAAAAATTTAAACAACATATAGTTCAATTTTCCAGGTTACTGAAGCTTATCCTTTAGAGTATCAAATTAAAAAACAAAAATCTTGAGGATCAGAAATCATTCTTAAAAAACATTAGACACTCTCCTAATTTAACCTTTCATTGATTATTCAGTATCACCATTACATACCCTGCAATGATACCACCCACAGAAACTTTCTGTAGTATCCGCATTCACTAACTCGAAATCACCCTTCCTTAAATTCTTTTGTCTGCTTTTGATAATTTTTGTCTCACTCCTCCCTACTGAGACTGTATTCAATGCAAATACACCTATACCTCACCTATGGGTTAAGAAGCCAAACTCCATATAATGAAATCACCTACAAGACAGAGTAAATTTACAGTCCAGGTTGCTCTGCTATGAGTAAAGAGTAAGAAATGTTGTCTATTGCTTTTATAAAAAGTATCTTGGCTTCTATAAGGCCAGTTATCCACAGGAAGCTTGACTATGTTTCAGGTAACTGAAATGTCTATATAGAAAGAATGTGACATTAGTATAAACAAATGGAGATGGTAAGTTATCCAGTTAGCTGGTTTGGGACAATGTCCTAAGAAAATTAAGCATTCAGGAACTCCTGCTACAGAATACATATGAATTTCTATCTCAAAATTACCATCTGAGAGAATGGAGCAATGCCTTCTGTTCCCAAGGAGAATGGTCCTATTCCCTACAGTGGTAACAGAAACTAAAATAAATGGCAAGAGTTTGAAGCGCTGAAGGTGTAGAGGTAAGAATTCCAGCCTGCAATAAAAACCTGGGTCTCTACTCCCAGACCAATTATTTACTTGTGTGACCATAAGTCACACTCTGAATCAAAATAACCTTACTCATAAAGTGAGATTTCCCCACTTTTTCAAAAGGCTGCTACGAGAATTAAAAATCAAATCAAGTATGAAAGCACTCTGTAACCTGAAAAGCACTCTATTAATATTCTTGCAACAATTCAATCTGAAGCTCATTATAGGTTCTCATAGACAGGACTGACTACATTTTAAATTTTAAAGAAAACTCTGCAACTTTTGACTTACTGTCACCAAAGAGGCTGATACCTCAAGATCAAAACAGAGATTATATCTTCCCCTAACTTACATATGGGAAACCAAGAGAAATTTACATATTTATGAACAGTGAAGAAAATGTGCCCATAATTCAAGGTTCATTTAGTTTTAATGTGCTAAGTATCCAACCACCTTCTCTAAAGGATGTCTCAAGCGTTACTAATCTAGAAAACATTATTTCCACTATCCTTTAGCTAGAAGCCACTCACATAGCAGATAAGTCAAACATTTCTAGTATTTATACTTATTTAAAGGTTGATGGTTAGACAAGCTGTTGGTTCTTTAAATAAATATCTTAAGTTCTCTTGCCCCTTAAAATAATGGTTCCTTAAGTTTTCTACCCCTTAGCGTCCCTCCCCCAGGTAATTTCACACTTCTACTTCCACCGTCAGTTCTTTTTTTTCCTTGAGACAGAGTCTCGCTCTGTCACCCAGGCTGGAGTGTAATGCGGCGTGATCTCGTTTCACTGCAACCTCCACCTCCCAGGTTCAAGCGATTCTCCTAACTCAGCCTCCTGAGTAGCTGGAATTACAGGCGTGTGCCACCCAGCCTATCTAACTTTCGTATTTTTAGTAGAGATGGGGTTTCACCATGTTGGCCAGGCTGGTCTTGAACTCCTGTCCTCAGGTGATCCACCTGCCTTGACTTCCTGAAGTGCTGGGATTACAGGCGTGAGCCTCCGCACCCAGCCCCGGCATCAGTTCTTACAACAAATTTCTGGTAAAGAGATTTACCAAAAAAAGAGTAAGTTCTACATGCCCTACAAAATTTTTGCACTGCTTGTCTAAAATATCAAATCAGTATTTTTCTTCACAACGGGAAAAGCATATCAAACAACGGTTTGCAAACTTTCTCAGTTCATGGTTATCATCCTTAGTATCCCAGCAATTTTTCCCAAGGCACTCCTAAGTCTCAAAGAAATAACAACTCCATTTATTAAGCAGTTAGGTCAAAACAACTGAATAAGTATTCATATCCTATGTGCTTATCACCTACTGAGCACTACAATACTTCTCAAACCTTAAAATTCAACTGGCTATCACCATCCTCATTTATTTTCATCATTTATTTTTACACAGTACTTATCACAGCAAGGCCAAAAACCCAGCTTTGCAAAGATATAACTTCATCAAAAAGAATGTAATGATCTAATGTTAAAACCTTTAGCTATTTCAGCTAGTAGTTAGAGTGGTGTCCTATAGATGTCTTTATAATTCCCTTAAAAATTTTAAATATCCCATGGTGCTCCTGTTAGTTTGCTGCAGCAACCCAGGGCTCCTTGGTTGAGAACCATAGCCTTGTAAGTTTCCAGTCCCCTGGAGAACAAATTCTCTTAAAACTAGGCCTACAAAGCTATTACCCATGTCTAACTGGATTAAAAATGTAAACTCTAAAGTAAATATATTTACATCTTTTAAAATTAGAACTTTAGAGAACTTACCTAAATCAAAATCATACATACAGTAGGTCATCAAAATGTCATGAAGTAAAATCAACCCTGGATTATCTTGGCCTTCATAAAACTTGTTTGTTCGATCTGTTCTGTTAACATCTTTTTCTGAAGAGGAAAATCATCACATATTTGAAAAGCTTCCAAAAAACAGATTGTGATAAAGCTCACATCTTACAAGTACAGAGTCATTTTTCTTGCTATTAATTTCACTCACCAAGCTTTACTTAATGAAGAAAAAATTCATCAAATTCTATTTCAAATATGCAATAAAGTAACATTTCAGAATTTTTTCAAGAATCAGTCCTCCTCATGGGCAGATTTTAAAATATTTTTCAATTATTATCTAAACATAGAAACCTTTTAACTGCATAGTGGAAAACATTTTCAATGAATTAAAAGCAACACTAAGTAATAATTTGCATTAGCAACAAAAATGCCAGTCATTAATGCATGTCATAGATACCAGTACTTGAAAACTAATAAAAAAAAAAAAAAGCTACCACCTAATCAAGCATAATCAAAGAGATTTGTTTCATTCACAATTACTGCATTTATTATAAGAAGTATAATCAAATTCTTTGTCATGTCTCAATCATCTTTAGGACAAATTATTTCCTTATTTTCATATCTACAACATTTACTTTAGATGTCATTATAAGTTGGAAATGACTTCATGAGAAACAGATTTGGAAACATCATCATCAATGTGTCCAAAGTTGCACCGACAATTCAATTCACAAACACTGATGCCTACTAAGTGCATCACGATGTGAGAGACTTTACCACAAGGCATTCTCCAAACTTGAATCTCTCAGTAAATTAGGAAGAAGTAACTTAAACAAACTCTTGATTAATTTACTGTAGAATCAATTGTTTAAAAGTGATAACTGCCTCCCCTCAATTAAACTGAGTAACCTGAAAACTTTCTCAAAACTCTTTACAAAGAGATGAGGAGGTCAGGTGTGGTGGCTCACACCTGTAATCCCAGCACTTTGGGATGCCGAGACAGGTGGATCACCTGAGGTCAGGAGTTCAAGATCAGCTTGGCCAACATGGCGAAACCCTGTCTCTACCAAAAATACAAAAATTAGCTGGGCATGCTGGTGTGCATCTGTAATCTCAGCTACTCAGAAGGCTGAGGCATGAAAATCGCTTGAACCCGGGAGGCAAAGGTTGCAGTGAGCCAAGATCCCACCACTGCACTCTAGCATGGGTCACAGAGTGAGACTCTGTCTCAAAAATAGTAATAATTAAAAAAAAGATAAGGAGATACAACAGAGTAGAATCTAACAACAGGGTATGATGTGAGCTTAATTAGATTCTGTAAGGGCATTTAAAAAATTATTCAAATATTTTAGCTTTCTGTTAAAATGTACTACATTTGATTTTTAAAAAGCAAGCAAATACATACAGAATTGTGGATACAGTTCTCAAATAAGCAAAAGTAATACCAAAAAACTCATGCTATTTATATAAAATTGCAATTAGAAATGTCAAAATGGGCCAGGTACAGTGGCTCATGCCTATAATCCCAGCACTTTGGGAGGCCAAAACAGGAGGACTGCTTAAGCCCAAGAATTCAAGACCAGCCTGGGCAACATGGCAAAACCCTGTCTCTACAAAAAATACAAAAATTACCCAGGCATGGTGACGCCTGCCTGTGGTACCAGTTACTCAGGAGGCTGAGGTTGGAGAACCATCTGAGCCCAGGAAGTTGAGGCTGCAGTGAGCCGTGATGGCACCACTGTACTCCAGCCTGGGTGACACAGTGAGACCCCGACTCAAAAAGAAAAAAAAGTCAAACTGCTTCTGTCTCATTTCACAGTTGATAAAGTTCATAAGTTAATTTTTATTAACTCAAGCATAATTTATATTACCATAATGCCAATACAGAATATCTGCCTTAATACGTATTTTAAACATAGTAAAAAAAAGTTGTTTGTATTCTCATGAACTATCAGTATTTCTTCTTGTAAAAATATTTAATAGTGACAAGCCAGGTGAAAAACAGAAAAGGGATAAAAAGTAATATATAAAAATGTTATTTTATAATTATTTCTAGAAACCCCATTTCTGAAAAGGAGTACTTCAGTTAAAAACAAAAACCTCTTATTAAATCCAACTCTCCATCTAATCTGATGTAGCTAAAAAAAGGCTGAAGAAAAACACAACCACGTTGACTGACCCCATTTTATATTCACCATCACTAACATCAAGTGGGTCCTGAATGCTGTTTGGCAATCCTGCTCTATTTCCCTTGTCCATTCACTCCCCATTCATACAATTATTTTATACTTCCTTTCTCTTCAAGCCTCCACCTTCTCCCACATCCTAACTCAGATAAGGACTCTGCTTCCTATTTCTGAGAAAATGAAACTATGAGAGAACTTTCACAGGTTCCCACTATTCTAAGCATACAACCATGTTTGAATTTATATAGTCTCCCTGCTCTCCTAACACTATAAATGAGTTTCCATAACTCTGTGGCAAAGACCAACCCCTCCTCTTGTGCATGAGAACCATCCCCTATTGACTACCCAAGGACTCTAGTAATTTCTATCTAGTTACTCTAGTAATTACCTCCCTCTTCAGTTTTACCAGTTTTTCCTTTCTACTGTACCATTCCCATAGTATTCAACCTTACATTATTTCTTTCAACATCATTAAAAACCTTTCTTAATCCTACTTTTCCCTCTGCTAGCTCATTTTCTCTACATCTGTTTACAGCAAAACTCCTTGAAAGAGCTGTAGGTATTGTCTCCAAGTCTTCTTCTATTTTCTCTTCAATTCACTCTAATCAGGTTATCACATGCACCAATCCATCAAAATTCTTCTTTAATCAAAATCTCCAGTGATCTCCTTATTCCTCTATGCAATGGTCAATTTAAATAATCTTACTTGGCATCCCAATTATCCCTTCTTGAAATACTTTCTTCACTTGTCTTTTAGGACATCAAACTTTGATGTTTTCAATCTTTCTCTGTGGCTCTTTACTTAGTCTCTTCTGCTGTCTTCTAATTTTTCCTACTTGTAAATTAAAGTGCCCCAGGGCTCAGTTCTTTTTTTGTAACTGTACTACTCCCTTGGCAATTTAATCTATTTTTTTTCCTCCCAAGTTGTATTTTAGTTTCAAGGGGTACATTGCCAAGTTTGTTACACAGGTAAATGGTGTGTCATGGGGGTTTGGTGTACAGATAGCTTTGCCGCTCAGGTAATGAGCATAACACCCAATATGTAGTTTTTCAATCCTCACCCTCCTACCACCCTTCACTCTCAAACAGCCCCAGTGTCTACTGTTTCCTTTTTTGTGTCCACGTGTGCTTAATGTTTATCTCCTACTTGTAGTGAGAACATGTGGTATTGGTTTTCTGCATTAATTCACTTAGGAGTATGGCCTCCAGTTCCATCTATGTTGCTGCAAAGGCTACGATCTCTTTATTATGGCTGCATAGCATTCTATGGTGCATATGTATATTTTCTTTATCCAGTCCACCACTGATGGGCATCTAGGCTGATTTCATGTCTTCTCTGTTGTCAAATAGTGCTGCTATGAACATACATGTGCATTTACCTTTGTGGTAGAACGATTTATACCCCTTTGGACATATATCCAGTAATGGGATTGCTGGGTCGAATGGTAGTTCTGTTTTAAGTTCTTTGGGAAATTTCTAGACTGCTTTTCACAGTGGCTGAATTAATTTACTTTCCCACCAGCACTGTATAAGCATTCCCTTTTCTCTAAAACCTCACCAGCATCTGTTATTTTTTGACTTTTTAGTAACAGCCATCATGACTAGTAGGAGATGGTATCTCATTGTTGTTTTGAATTGTATTGCCATAATGACTAGTAATATTGAGCACTTTTTCATATGTTGGTTGGCAGTGTTTATGTCTTCTTTTAAGACGTGTCTGCAGCCAGGCATGGTAACTCACACCTGTAATGCCAGCACTTTGGGAGGCCAAGGCAGGTGAATCACAAGGCCACGAGTTCAAGACCAGCCTGGCCAAGATGGTAAAATCCTGTCTCTTCTAAAAAAAAATTCTAAAATTAGCCTGCCGTGGTGGTGGGCACCTGTAATCCCAGCTACCCGGGAGGCTGACGCAGAGAATTGCTTGAACCCGGGAGGCAGGGGTTGCAGTGAGCCGAGATTGCACTGCTGCACTCCAGCCTGGGCAACAGAGCGAGACTCCGTCTCAAAAAAAAAAGTCTGCTCATGTCCTTTGCCCATTTTTTAATGGGGTTGTTTTTGCTTGTTGATTTGAGTTCCTTACAGATTCTGGGTATTAGACCTTTGAAGGATGCATACTTTGCAAATGTTTTCCCCATTCTGTAGCTTGTCTGTTTACCCTGTTGATTGATAGTTTCTTTTGCTGTACACAAGCTCTTTAATTAGGTCCCACTTGTCAATTTCTGTTTTGGTTGTAATTGCTTTTGGAGTCTTCTTCATGAAGTCTTTGCCTGGGTCGATATCCTCAATGGTATTTCCTAGATTTTCTTCTAGGGTCTTTATAGTTTCAGGTTTTACATTTAAGTTTTTAATCCATCTTGACTGATTTTTGTATATGGTGAAAGGTAGGGGTCCAGTTTAATACCTCTGCATATAGCTAGCCAGTTATCCCAGGAACATTTATTGAATAGGGAGTCATTTCCCTGTGGCTTGTTTTTGTCAGCTCTGTCGAAGATCAGATGGCTGTAGATGTGTGGCTTTATTTTTGGGTTCTCTAACATGTTTCGTTGCTTTATGTGCCTGTTTTTCGTCCCAGGACTATGCTGTTTTAGTTACTATACCCTTGCAGTATAGTTTGAAGTCAGGTAGTATGACGCCTCCAACTTTCTTCATTTTGCATTAAGATTGCTTTGGCTATTTGGGCTCTTTTTTGGTTGCATATGAATTTTTTTCTAATTCTGTGAAAAATGTCATTGGTAGTTTGACAGGAATAGCACTGAATCTATAAATAGCTTTGGGCAGTACGGCCATTTTAAACAATATTCTTTCAATCCATGGTATGGAATGTTTTTCTATTTGTTTGTGTTATCTCTGATTCCCTTCAGCAGTGTTTTGTAATTCTCATTGCAGAGTTCTTTCACCTCCCTGGTTAGCTGTATTTCTAGGTATTTTATTATTTTTGTGCCTACTGTGAATGGGATCACATCCTTCATTTGGCTCTCGGCTTGGACGTTGTTGGTGTATACCAATGCTACTGATTTTTGCACATCGATTTTGTATACTGAAACTTTACTGAAGTTGTTTATCAGATCTAGGAGCCTTTGGGCAGAGACTATGGGGTTTTCTAGGTATAGTGTCATATTGCCTGTGAAGAGAGGGTGACTTCCTCTCTTCCTATCTGGATGCCTTTTATTTCTTTCTCTTGCCTGATTATAGTACCATGCTGAATAAAAGTGTCAGAGTGGGTATCCTTGTCTTGTTCTGGTTCTCAAGGGGAATGCTTCCAGCTTTTGCCTGTTTGGTATGATGTTGGCTGTGGGTCTGTGATAGATGGCTCTTATTATTTTGAGGTTATGTACCTTTGATGCCTACTTTTTGAGGTAATCTAGTTTCATAATTCATGGTTTTATGTAATCTCATACTATCTATGTTGATGACCCCTAAATTTATCTCCAGTCCCATGAATTCCAGCCCCATATATCCACATTCAACTCAACATATTAACTTACAGACATTCAATATAGGCATCTCAAAATTAAAGTCTAAAACTGAATTCTAAATATTCCCTTCCAGACTTTCTTCTCTAACAGTTTTTCCCATCTTAGTAAAAAACAAAAACAAAAAAAACAGCAATATTGGCTGGGCACAGTGGCTCATATTTATAATCCCAATGCTTTGCAACACTGAGATGGGAGAATTGCTTGAGGCCAGGAGTTGGAGACCAGCCTGGGAAACATAGTGAGACCCTATTTGTACAAAAAAATTTAAAAATTAGCCGGGTGTGATGGTGCGTGCATGCAGCCCCAGCTACTTGGGAGGCTGAGGCTGGAGTATCCTTTGAGCCCAGCTGCAGTGAATTATGATTGTGCCACTGCACTCCAGCCTGGGTGACAAGCAAGAATCTGTCTCTTGAAAGACAAAAAACCCAGCAATATCCATATGCCATATTCTCTTCCCTTTATATCAAGCAGTTGCTCTTCCTCTCTTCCCATCTGGATGCCCATTATTTCTTTCTCTTGCCTGATTGCTCTGGCTAGGGCTTCCAATACTACACTGAACAGGAGTGGTAAGAGAACCCCCTCCCTTTTTCAAGTTTCTATTCAAATATCACTTTCCTACTAAAAGCTGTCTCTGCTTGCCCAAGTTAAAATGGCAACATTGCACACAAACATCCTAACCCTTTTCCTTGCCTTATTTTTCTATTTGGCATGTATCACTAACATACCACATATGTTACTTACTTAACTTGTTTACTGTCTGTTCTTCCACAGGAATGAAAACTCCTTTAGGGCAAGAATTTTGCCTGTTTTGTGCAGTGATGAATCCCTAATGCCTAGAGGAGAGCCTAGTACATAATAGGCACTAAGTAATAACTTATTGAAAGAATGAATGAGTGTATGAATGCTTGAAATAATCAATTTGGTTTTCAGAAATATCCCTTGGTGATTTAAACCCATTTATGCCAGAGGTTGCGAATTTTTGTGTGTGAAAAATCAGACCTTGGAGATGACCTTGAGCAGCAGGATACAAATAACTCCCACAAGCTTAGTGTTCCAATAATGGAACACTAGGCATAAATGGGTTAATGTGTTGCCAAAGTTAAAAACCACTGCTTTAAAAACTGGGATTCCTGAGCCTTCTTAACTGTCTCTTTTTCCACTAGGTGGCACATGTTTCCATGGATATTTATACTGATAATACCCAAACTTCTATCTCCTGCCAGACTAGTCCAGACTATTCAACTACCTACTTGACATTCCATTTGTATATTTCACCTTAAGGTATATATACCTTAACACTTAATTCAATTTCACCATACCCCATTTCTCATCTCCATAAGGGGTATCACTAACTGCCCGTTTTCTAGTCAGAAACTGAGTCCTATTTTTTATTTCTCTTTCCCCTTCACACCCCATATTTCATATATCAGAAAGTCTTATCAACTCTATCACCAAAATATAACTTGAATCCACCTACTTTTTTTGGTTTTGTTTTGTTTTGAGAAGGGGTCTCGCTCTGTCACCCAGGCCGGAGTGTAGTGGCACAATCGCAGCTCACTGTGGCCTCAACCCCATAGGCTCAAGTGATCCTCCCACCTCAGCCTCCCAAATACTGGGATTACAGGTGTGAGCCACCATGGCCGGGCTCACCTACTTCTTTTTACCTCCTCTACTACCATTTATTGCCTGAACTTATGCTTTCCACTAACTGGTCTCCCTATTCCTACTCTTACTTTGATTGAATTTCCACAAAGCAGTAAAAATGATTTTAAAATATAAATAAAATACTCTTCCTTAAAATGCTCCAATAGAGTCTCATCATACTTAAAGTAAAATCCAACTTATTGGCATGTATGCAAGACCTAAAGCTTACTGCGTAGTTTTGCTTTTAATAAAAGTAAATTTATACCACCCAAAAAGCTTTTGATGAGCATTCTCAAAATACATTTGGGAAAAAGCATTATAGAAAAAGAATGCTTTAAAACTAACTTATTTTATGCACTTCTACTGGCAGAAAGCATGGTATAGCTGAAAGGCCACTCAAAATTAGATCTGAGTATGAATGAGTCTGAACTATAAAACTAACGAGATAGATGGCTTAAGACAACTGACTAACCTTTCTGGGCTTCAACTTTATCTGCTAAAAATGAACAAAGTAGGCTACAGTATGTCTCAATTCAAATTACATTATGGGGACTTTAAATATCTAAATTTTCCTACCAGTCTCCTGGAAAGGATCAGAAAAGGACATGAAAGGTTGAGAATATCAGAGACATCAACATTGATCCTTGATATAAAGGGAAGAGGATATGGCATGCAGAAAGAAGAGGCTTAAAATACAGGTTTAGTTGACCTCTAACTTCCCTTCCAGTTCGAATATTTTATGCTCAAGCAGGAGTAAAACACCAGAATCCCTTATTGTTTTTCCTACTGAAACTGAAAATATCAAGAAGCTTCAGTTAGAAACTTTAGATTAAACTCCAAAACTCAGGACTCCCAAACTTTCGCCTTAATCAGAGAAAGGACAAAGTTTATTCTGGTATAATTTACATTTCAGAAAAATAAATTCTTTTTGGATCAAAAGTATCACTGCCAAAAAGATCTTGTTTTCATGTCCACAAACGGTACCAAATCAGCCTGTTACGTTGGGCTTTCTAAATATAATTTAAAAAATTATTTCTTTCATGGGAGGGTGTTAACAGCAGTAACAAATCCCTCTATCATTCTTTATGAAACCACGGATATACAAATCCAGATACAATATAGGAATTTCAAAACTAAGTTCCAGTACTATCCAATGCTATCCTAAAATTACAGAGACAGTGTAATAAGAACATTAAACTGGGACATGTGTGACCTTGGACAGGTCATTTATGTTCTCCATGCTTCAGTTTCTCATTTGTAAATGGAGATTATGAAATGCAACTAATGCTTTAATGATAAAATTCTATCAAGCATCTCTGTGTTTTAGAGAATAGTTATCCCCAGGTAAATATTCTATTTTCAAATACTAAATTTTATATCTGGAGTCATTTATTTAATTTTAAAAATGAAATATATGTATATTTAAAGAAGTTCTGAAGGGATATAAACCAATACCTATTAACCATAATTATCTCTGGGTGACAGAAACAAAAATAATTTCTATTTACCTCTTTTTGCTCATCTACAGTTAATTTTTCTACAATAAACAGACTTTCATAATAAAAAAGAAAATAAAGTTTTTTAAAAATGAAATTAATTCAAAAAGCAAATAAAGGTAAACAATCTTTTTAGAAATTCATACTTTGGAACTGAAAATTAAATATATCAACACTTATAAATAAACTTACTGAATTAATATGCCTATTGGAAGAGGAACAACAAAGAACATTAAACACACACTGCAATGTACTTTCCTATTCTGATTTCTCTTTTGAGCCCTAGTGCTATTACCATGTATCTTCACTTCTTTACTCTTATCAAGATTTCAATGTAATCCCCCCTTGCATTTCCAAAGTTGTTAAGAAAAAATTACCGATAAGACTTCTATAATCTCTTAACCTCGAATTTCTTTTCTCTTGTTCCTGGCTGATGGATTTCCACTGCAGTTTCATTCTGAAGTATTCATCACTATAGAAAACAATTTGACATCAAAGAAAGCTATTTGAAAACTTTATTTTTAACACTGTTTAATTGGGTTTTTCTATAAACAGTATATCAAAGCATTTATGATGCTAGTGGAATGTAAGTTTATAAAAACAATAGCAAAACGTTTAAAGTTATGATAAATAAGTGAAAACAAAAGAAAAAAATAACCGATAAATATCACAAAGTTTATGTGATAAACTTTGTTCAACTACTAGAATAATTTTAGGTATTCTTTTACAAAAACATTTATCTCATCCTTAAAATCATGTCTAAAAGTATTCTAGTCATGAAATATTTTAACCACTAAAGTTTCCAAATAATTGTAAATACAAATCTAAGTGACTTTTTTTTTAAAAAATGTGACATTATAGTTCCATTTCCAAGCAGTTTATTGCAGAAACTAGTTAATGTAAAAATGTCTTAGAAGAACTGGTAAACAAGCTGAAAAGAGAAGACTGTCAGATAACTTAAATATGCACATAATGACTGAAAATAGCTTTAAATCAAAGGCTAGACTGACAACTGAGAACAAGAAGTTGTACCTGGAAAGTTGGTCTGTGTTTCCTTTCAAGTCTGAGGAATAACTTAAAATAGAAATACTCTTCCAAAAAGAATGAAGGATCCATTATAAGAGTATCAGAAAAGTAACTTAAAGGTAATTAATCTAAATAGCAAATATATTTCTTATGAGCCATTTATAATTTCATAATGAATTATAAAAATGAATCAAGATGAATGAGAGATGTTTTTAAGTGTATGTCTACGTAGTTATCTTTCAAGTATGCAAAAGGCTTGTACAAGGCTTATATAAGGGAATATGTTTATCTTCTTTTTACATATTCACAAAAATAAATGCAAAAAGGTGCTTCTAGTAAGTTTCTGATTTAAAATAATTAGAATGCTCATAATTTTTAAGTTAAAACATAAAAATGAAGTTGTTTTTCCATTCCCCAGTCTATTCCAAATCCTCATCTAGAAACCCTATACTAATTTGTATGAGTGGGTTACTTGAATCTCTTTGATAAATGTACGAAAGACCATTACTTACGTTTTTTGCTTTTGTAATTGGGTTCTTTCCTCCTTGGTACTGTCCCAGGGAAAATAACCCAGAAGAAATTTCCATGCTTGCTTTCTCAATGCATGACTAAGTCCCTGAAGAAAGCATACATATTAAATACATGAATGAAAAAGAATGTAATACTGTAAGTTCACAAAACTTGCATATAAAAAGGAAAACTAATCTTTAAGAGGTAGTTTCATATATGTAAATAGTTCAATTCAGTGAATATCATCTTGTTTTTTACTTCTAGATCCAAAAGATGTAAGCAGCTGCCAGAAAGTTTAAACAGTGCACAGAATACAGTAGACTACAGAATACAGTAGACTACAGCAGACAGACAGTGTGACTGGTGAGTCTAAGCCCAATCTTACAGAATAAGGCAAATGCCACTGGAATGCAGGCCTCCTTCACAAAACCCACAGAACTTCAAGTACGGAAGAATTCTTCCCCCAGAGTTAAGGGTCTACCCAACCCCCAGGAACATCATAAGCACCTCACTCTGTCCTACTCAATCCAGGAATTTTAAGGCATCATTCATCAAAGAAATAACAGAGTTCATTCCTCCCTACTTCCCCCACCAAAAAAAAAAAAAACCAACAACAAAAAAAAACACACCAAAACAGTAACGATAACAACAAAACCCCTAAATACTAGGAGTTTATAAGACAAGCCATATTAGAGTGTTTAAATTACCCCTCTAAATATCATCTGCTTCATATTATCTACATTTAAAATTCTTCCTTCAGAATCAATGTTCTTAGTCCATTCTTCCAGTGATACCGGTTCTCTCCTTTGAACAACAGGGCGTTCCCCCAAATCAATCTAAAAATAAGATTAAGCAATAATAAGTACATATTTAACCAGTGAAATGAAATAAAGGCATATAGAAACTAAATTTAAAATACTGTTTTTCAGACATGACTTCTAATACTTTTAAGATTGTTCCTTATTTTCCCATGTTTAGTTTAACTATAATAGTTAGCATTACATGTATTTCCCTTCTACTAAACACACAACAAACTGGGTTATAAATTCAGAAACAGAAAACCCCACAGACTAAAAATATTTGTTATTAAAAGAAAGCTCTTTACTATTTTGGGTTCAATTATGTAAGTATAGAACATTCAACATGTAAATTCTGTAAGAAACCTTCAAACCAAATGATATGCTGTATTATTTAAAAAGAGAGAATATATAATTATTCCATTAATCATATTCTAAAAATTAGCTTTTCTTCTAAAGTTTGTATTTCTCAGAATTGATTCATGACCCACTAGCTTCACTCGGCATTTTCTATAGTGTTTTATTCAATTAACAGATGTTGGTAATTTTAAAATAGTATTTGCAAGATAAACCCTTTAATTAAGCACTAAAATTTAGATATTTATAGTTTTCTAACTATGTACAAGCCTAGAATTGTAGCAAATTTAAATCTTACTGAGCACATATAAAGATCTGCCATAATTCAGGCCAAAACCCATCTTACTTAAAAAAGGAAGTATTACATGAGAATAAAAGCCCTAAAAGTAGTATCCTGACTAGCTGTCTCTGATGCCTATGAGAAAACATGCAAGTAAGGAACAGAACTAAGAGGTAATAGGAAAGGTTCGCTCCTCACTCTGCTATGCACCCAATGAAACAAACTTCATTATCAAAAGGTAATCAAAGAAGAGAGATCCAACATTAATCAAGAAAGAGTATAAGATAGAGAACAAATGAAGAACTTAGTGGCAGGACAAGCACTCATTGTCAGATATACTAGCAAAAAGTTGTTAAGAACAGATTATGGAAAGAAGCAGATATCACCAAAATTAAGTTTCTATTTCTATAGTACATGTTCTCCTGTTAAAATATAAGAGCTATATTAATACTAATCTTTACTCACTCTTGTGATGACTTCAAATCCTGGTTCTTCTTGTTGATTTATCTTTAGACCTGGAATAGCATCACTAAGAAAATCTGCCATTTCTGAAGGTGGTCGTTGATGTGTAGAGGGATCGCTGCCTCTCAAACTGTCAAAAATGTAGTTTGTGACTTTGGAAAATCCTATCATAGTTGCCGTATAAGGGTCCTTTTTAATTTTCTATGCAGTAGGAAGAAAAATATTAGCATTATTAACTCAAATAAAGAAAAACGAATACTCCATCATGAGCAAAAAAGCAAAGCTTTTTAAAAGAAAAGAAATCAGGACTAAAACAGAGTGTTCTAAGATTATCTTAAATTTGTATTTTCTTTCTTCAAAGAAAAATTTAAATTTTCTAAGCCAATCATTTCATTTGGTTAAAATAGCATAATAAATGACAAGTTAATGCTACTGATTGAATTGCAGATAAACAAATGATTTGCAGGCTTCACTCAATCTGCATACATCAGAAAACATACGCAGTGCTTACTTTCCAGTGGTGAATGGCCCACAACAGCTTTCTTCTGTCTAGCAGTCCTGCCTTCATACAAAAAAAATATTTCTTGAAGTGTGTACCACCATGCTATTCTGACACAAAATATTTGATGGCTAAATTTAAAAACTCATATTTAAATATTAGTTGACATTTTAATCTAATTATATGAATAGTAAATCATGCCAACAAGAATAATTTATTCTGGGACAGTGCTACCCTGGAAAACAGCAAAAGGTTTTTCTACTGTTAAGTGCCAGGGTAACTTCTGAAGCCCAAACTATTTGCTCATTCATATTTAGCAAAAACAGTTATTTATTAAATAATTCTTTTCACAATAAGTAAAATTATCCTTTTATTGTCCATTTTAAACAGTGTTTAGTTCTCTCTCTCATCCTCTTTCCTAAAGTTCCCTCTATATCTTATTAATCTTTACATCTTCAAAACCAGGAAAAGAATAGCTGGGACACAGCAAGCACTCACATATTTGTTAAATGAATAAGTGAATAAATAAATAAATGAATAAACCATCTCATTACTTTACATAGTCATCTGAGTGATAATTAAATTTACTTCTGCCTATTATTAAGTGCACATTTTTAGCCAAATGTAAGAACAGTACTCAAATATTCTTAGGGGAATAAGATTGTCATGACGTCAAAACAATCTACTTAAATTCAAACCAGATTTTTGCCTAAACCGATCATTAATGAATTCAAACTGGCCTACTCTGTGATCCCTGGCCTAATCAATAAAAGTTATGATACAAATCTACTGATGTCTAATTTTAGTATTATAATAAACTGAGAAATTTCCTTATGAGTAACTAAGAACCAAGGAAGCCTCTGAGTCTTGCAAATAACATGAAAACTTATTATTGTTTCTGTAAAATTAGAGAATAGTTCCAAAAAGATTACACACACACACACACATATCTATGTATATATATGTACCTGTCTCATTTTGCATACTCTCTGAGAAGATGAGAAGTACAGGGTATATAAAATAATGCAGTCAGAATAATACAGGATAGATTTAAGGAACATACTTGTATTAAACCATATGCTGGCTCATCAAGAAGATTTTCAAAAGACTGTGAAAGACTCTTATTCTGACAATTCACAAGAAGTGTTCTTTTATCCTGTGGAGATCTATAATAAAAAAGAGGATTTGTAGAAAATACTAACACACTGTATCAATTACTACATGAACAATTACTAACACAAATGTTCCTTACCAAAAAAAAAAAAAACCCAAAATATTTTAACAGTTTTCCATTAATACATTAGCAAATATTTAGTAACTATTTTAAAGGAGCTTCAAAACTACATGAAACATAAAATACAAAATTAACAAATACTAAATACACTGTATATAACGTAAATAAAACAAATATAAAGTGTATTTTTATTCCAGGTAAAGCCAAAAGGATTAAACTGGAATGAACCTAAATTCTTCTCTAGAATTATAGTAGAAAACCATTACAAGATAGCTGGCTTTATTATCATAAAAATTAAAGAAAGCCAAAACAGACATTAGGAGTCATCAGTATATAATATTTACATACAGAAAATATGTCCTATTTTGAAATCATTTCCACCTTCATTCACAGCTTAGTAATACTGCAATATAAGATGTTAAAAATGTAAGCTATATTAGTTATTTGATAAAGATCATTAATCATGCTAACCATAATTACAAACACACACATATGAACATATTTTAACAAGATTATTATGAATGGTTGGGTAATACTATGTTTTTAGTTCTTGCTTATTAAACTCTAGAAGCAAGTCTCTTCACATTTCTTAGTAATGACAGAATTTAACAAAATGTTTCCAAAACAGACATCTAATTTCTAGTCATCTGACAAATTATCCAGTCTTTTTTCTATTTAGTGAGTTTTATGACTTAGTCAGTTCTAATAAATCTACAAATTTTCTATGTTTAAAATAAAAATTAAATGTGTTATTTTGCTGCTATACACCTCCTGTTTATTATAAATGTTTGAGATAAGATCTTTAATAACAGTTATCCCTTCTCAATTCTAACATAACAGGATGTAACAGTAATGCTAGAGTGGATATGAAATCCAAAACAGGATCTTATATTCTTACACAGTCAGGAACAGCACTCGATCTGCATATACAATAGTAGCTAATAAGCCCCTTGGCCTTTCAAAAGGGGCTGAGGTTGAGTCATTTGACATAGGAGGGAAAAAAAATACATTTTAAAACATTTACTTTTCTGAATATTTTGAGGGGTCATAATTAATAGGCAGACTTACAGATTCTCTCACAAGGCATTTTTTAAATGATGGACTTTGAAATGTAGCATCAGAAAAGAAAAGTAGCTAATAAAGAAACAAAATTTTATTCCTAGCACAGTGCTGCTGGCACTGCCATCATTTTGTTTCTAACAATAAATTAAGTCAAATTATTTCTTTAAAACCCAAATAAAAAATGCTCATGAAAGTCAAACCACTGCCTATACATATAAAAGAGGAACAAATAGGCAACTTTCAGCTATCTGGGTTCAGATAACTCTATGGCTCCATATCTTAAACAGTGGCCACTAAACTGGAGATCCGAAGATGAAATGACTGCCTTACCAACAAGCAACCACAAATATTTTTTAAAAAGAAATTCCTTCTTTTCTTTTCTCATAACTATTGTTGTGTGATGGAGGGTGGAGGAAGCTCTAAGAAGGAGGGAAGATATGAAGAAATTAAAGACCTGACTGCTCCAAAGGAAATCAACAAAACACTTAAAAAGTACATCAGTCAAAGGACAAGTAGTATACTGTTACACCGCTAGGTAATTGCAGAGCTCACCATAAGGAAGACTGGTATTCCAAAATATTACCAGAATGTTTCCACCTGCTGGGTCACCACACTGATTTAATCTATAAATATATATTCTGGGAAGTTGATCTCTCATGCTAACATTATTCAAGACTTTCAAACTCATTGCAGCAGTAAGATGAACTTTTAATGATGCTAACCCAGCAATTCTATTACAGCCTGCTAAACAATTTGAAGAAAACTATAGTCTAGTATCACAACTATAGAAGCATATCTCCTGAAAATTCTGAAGTATATCCCAGGCTTTGGTGTGAGCCTGTCCCAAAGACCTCATAATAAACTCAGAAATTATAAACTGAACAATGCTTGTATACCCAAATGTAGCAGTAACTATTTTATATTTCTATTGAGAATGACCAATATGTAAGGCTAAAGAAATAAACAGCATTGCAGAGATTATCAATCAAAACTGGGAATAAAAGATAGAAAGGTACAATAACAAAATTTTACATCTAGAACCTAATCTTTTAAATGGTTGGTGCTGTTTGATGATACAACAAATTTGGCTTTTTAAGGGAATATTTTACTGCTTGGATATTTGCATATCAATGTAAAAATGGCCCAATATACAAAATAACTTAATGGAATCAACAGGTCTCATTCATATCTTAGCAACCAACTTGGTTTCAGAAAGGTAAGAAAAATGTATTTGTAGCTGATTCTTTTATCCAAGTGAATATCATATTTTAAATGATGATAAATCAAAGAACACAAACATGAACAAATATGACAATTTGTTTTCCTGGTAAATAAGAAAACTATCTGAAAAATATTAAGCGTCAAGATGGCCTATGTTGCACTGACTAGATCGGGTTGTTGAGACTGAAAGAAGGAACTACACATGACTAGCCTAGCAGAGCCTCTTCCTGGCGCTTGTGAGCCATCTAGGTTGCCCATTCCTAGATTACTAGCAATCTCTGCTCATCCATATGGTAAGGCCCTGCTCCTGTAAAAGGAAGGTCAGCTCTTTATGAAGACAAACTTAATTCACTAGGAAGTAGATTGGGAAGACAACATGGCCACAAATGCAAGCCACATTCCTCAATTTAACTTAATCAAAAATAAAAAAAAAGTTATCTGATCTAATTCTCTTGGTTTTGAACTCAAAAGAAGACAGGAGGGGTGACCACTGGCATCCCAATGAGGCTGAAACCAAGATTTCCTTGACTACTCTTCTTTGTGGTCTCTAAAACAATCTTTGACCATAGAAATAAGACTCTGGAAACATCGTTTTACTTAGGATAACTGCTCCAGGGACAGGAAATGAGACCCCTCGGGCTGACACCTAGTAGAATAAAAATTGGGTATAATATTTAGAAATTTTCATTTATTTGAACTTTAACTTAAAAATTTGGGAATTCCACTTATTTGAATCTTAACTAACAAGAACAAGAGCCTTTAAATTTCTCCTTAAGAATTCTGTAATTCACAATAGCAAAGGCATGAAATAAACATAAACGCCCATCAGTGGTAGGCTGGATAAAGACAATGTGGTATATATACACCATGGAATACTACGCAGCCATAAAAAGAATGAGACCATGTCCTTGGCAGCAACATGGATGAAGCTGGAGGCTATTTTCCTAAAGCAAACTAATGCAGGAACAGAAAGTCAAATACTACATGTTCTCACTTATAAGCGGGAGCTAAACAACAAACAACACATGGACACAAAGAGAGGAACAACAGACACCAGAGCCTACTTGAGGGTGGAAAGTGGGAGGAGGGAGAGGATCAGAAAAACTACCTATCAGATACTATACTTACTACCTGTGTGACAGAATTATTTGTACACCAAAACCCCGTGACATGCAGTTTACCTACATAACAAACCTGCACATATACCCCTGAACCTAAAATAAAAGTTAAAACAAAAAAGAATCTGACAGTGGGGGATGGCTTATATAAATTTGGGACTTTTTAAATACTGGTGAATATTTACTTGGAATAGCTTTATTCTACTACTTGGAATAGCTTTATTCTACTACTTGGAGTCTATAAAATCTATGGTGAGCTACATGGCATAATATATTTGGGCATAATTTGTGACAGGAAGGAGAATAGGGAGGGAGCACTTATTTTCAGCCTAGAGTATGGAGGGGCCTTGGAGATAAAATATTTGATGCACTGTTTTTACACATTTCAGACCATTCATGGGTCAAAACGTAAATTGCCCTCCCAGTGTCACAGGAGAATACACAAAGCAGTGGCTGATATTAGAAGAACAGCTTTTGAAGTAGTCACTTTAGACACTATCTCCTTCCCCAAGAAGAGCAGCCACATCCTGGTTCACTAAAAACTTAATGATTAAGCCTAATGAGAAGAGAACAAAGTGTACAAAGCTTTTTCTCTTTTACCAGATTATTAAAGGGTGCAATTAATCACTTAGGCTCACATCTCCTCCAACTCTATGCTCCCCTTAGTTGATTTCATTCTCTCTCAGAGTTTCAATCACTCCCACACATGGAAAACTTACATATTATCCTAATATACTTTTATATTGCCATATGTCTTATTCACGGCACTTATTATAGCTGCAACTTAAGGCAGGGGCCATGTCTTTTTTGATTACTGCTTTCTTTCCAGAAAATAGCACTACTGCATCTAAGACACAGTAGGCATTCAAAAAAAAATACTTGAATTAAATGAAAAAAAAAAAAAAAAAGAAACATGTATAAGGAACATTCTATGGCTTCACATTTCCAAAAGGAAATGAGCACTTCTAAAGACACTCTCCTTCCCAGGGACTTAAGTGCTGAGATTGAGAAAGAGTAGGGTGCATGCTTGGCATAATTCCTTCCAAGCTCTCTCTCTTTCCCTCTCTCTTAGATCTGCCTATCAACAGAGAAGGTGCTTTCATTCTGCTCTCATTCACATCCTCAGTGGCCTGTCCTCATTAGGAAAGCCTGTAGGTGTCAAGAAGTAACAACAGCCAGTTTAGTTCAAAACTAATCTGGGGTGAATTATTATAATGTCATATGTCTAAACCCCTCTAATAACAGTATTTTCATCACCATCTCTGATTCTTTTTTTTTTTTTTTAGGTAAAGTCTCACTCTGTCGCCTAGGCTGGATGGAGTGCAATGACATGATCTCAGCTGACTGCAACCTCTGCCTCCCAGGTTCAAGCCATATTCCTGCCTCAGCCTCCCGAGTAGCTGGGATTACAGCTGGCTTTCTTGTATCTGTAGTAGAGACGGGGTTTCACCATGTTGGCGAGGCTGGTCTCGAACTCCTGACCTCAAGTGATCCGCCCACCTCAGCCTCCCAAAGTGCTGGGATTACAGGCATAGGCCAGTGTGCCCATCCCCATCTCTGATTCTCATACTTCTCATTTGTTTACAAATTTAGAAAAGGAAACAAGCTTTCACTTGCTACTCTCACGAAACATGAACAACACACATTCAAGATACATATACCCCTATTAACTGCTTAAGTGGTTATCAAGACTATCCTTGAACCCATCCAGGATAGGAAACTCTACCTCCTGAGCTAAAACCTGTCTTCTAATTTCTTTCTGGAGTCACATAAAGCAAATCTCCAATCTGTTTCTCACAATAACCTTTCAAAAATTATTTGTCAAATTGATAATCATCATGCCATTTATTCATTCAACTAATATTTATTGCACATTTATTATGTACCAGAAACTGTAGCTAGGAACTAGGAAGAATATGGAAACAAGACAGATACAATCCCTATCCTTCAGAAGTATACATTCTAGAGTAAAACACAAAAGAATAGACCAAATTATTGTATGCTGTTAGATGCCATGAAGGAAGCAAACAAGAAAATTAGATAGTGAGGAGCAGAGATAGGAAAACTACATTAGATGGGGAAAGAGGGCATAAGCCCCTCTGAGGAAGTGACATTAAATGGAGACCTCAGGGATCAGAAAGAGAGGAAAATATTCCAAGTAGAAAAAACAGTATGCATAAAGGACCTTAAGACAAGAAAGAGTTTAGGGGGTTTTAGGAACTGAAAGAAATCTGCATGAGTAGAATGGAAAAGACAATGGCATGAGATGAGTTTTAAGAGATAAACAGAGCTAAGATAGGGCAGGCCCTTGTTGATGACAGTGAAGAAGTTTGGATTTTATTTAATGTTGCATTGAAATTTCTCTTCTTCAAGTTAAACCACATCCTTCAATGAAATATTTTTCATAGGACCATTTTGATCCCCTTCCTTACACTGGTTATCTCTTCAATACAGAATAGTATTTTCTATTCTGTAATCAAGTAAAAATAGTTGATAGTTGATCAAGTAAAAATAGTAGTTGATCAACTTGATAGTTGATCAAGTAAAAATAGTAGTCAAGTAAAAATAGTTTGCTTTGGGATTAATACAATGATCCGGTTTCAATAAGTAGAAAATAATATGATACTTACTCACAGAATACCACATATTTTTCAAGAGATTCAATCAGTAGTTTGCTATCTCTTACCTATAGAATAGGTAGTCTAGCACATTTAAAATGCAGTGTTTACTACTTGCAGTTCAAGCCTACTTCTCCAAAATATAATCAGTAAAAAGGAGAGAGGAGCTACCACCTCCCTCATCCTAGATATTATGCTTTAATCAACAGTCTCAGACCAAATGATCTCATTTGT
Source organism: Homo sapiens (assembly GCF_000001405.40). Classification (NCBI taxonomy): domain Eukaryota; kingdom Metazoa; phylum Chordata; class Mammalia; order Primates; family Hominidae; genus Homo; species Homo sapiens. The sequence goes on along the minus strand of NC_000012.12, from coordinate 71,886,900 downwards.
GAGTTACATCGCAACACCGATACTGAGCTTACTATGGTGCTAAAACTCCCAACTCTTTAATGCCTGCTATTAAATAACCATAATTTTCTATTCCAATCATGATACTGTCTCTCCTGAAATCTACTCATCCTCTCAATGGTAACCTATCACAGGTTCTCACTTCGAGATCCAAGATCCACAATCCACATACCACCAAGCAGGTCTGACTTTCTTACACTTACTGGCACTGAACAGCTTGCCTGTTGCCAGCTAGAGGTGATTAACATGGCAGGGGAGAATCTCAGGCCAGAAAATACACAGTCGAGAATCTTCCAGTTTTTGTATCACTTCTAGCCTTATGTAATCTAAATTTAGGCAAGCCTTATGTAATCTAAATTTGGGCAAGGTGTTAAATTCTACTATAAAGTGAGGACATTATAAATGAAGTTAGCAGCCAGGCGCAGTGGCTCAAGCCTGTAATCCTAGCACTTCGGGAGGCCGAGGCAGGCAGATAACCTGAGGTCAGGGGTTCGAGACCAGCCTGGCCAATATGGTGAAACTCTGTCTCTACTAAAAAATACAAAAATTAGCCAACCGTGGTGGCGCACGCCTGTAATCCCAGCTGCTCAGGAGGCTAAGGTAGGAGAACTGTCTGAACCCACGAGGCAGAGGTTGCAGTGAGCCAAGATCGCACCACTGCATGGAAGGAAGGAAAGGAAGGAAGGAAGGAAGGTTAGCAATCATTCCCTGCAGTTCCCCCAAGCCCAAAACCTCAACTTCTCCCTTCTTACCTCCATATATCCAATCCATCACAAAATCTAATTCTAAAGACTCCAATACTTCCATCTTTCCTGTCACTATCCCAGTTCAGGCCACTTTAATCTCACCTGGATAACTGGAAGAACCTGCTAACATGACTTAAAAGATGCTTTGTGCTTTGGACTTTACTCAGCTCTTTGGCCTCATCTTTAACTGTATCACCCTCCCCTCCTCATACTTTGCAGACCTGTAATACTGAATTAATTTGTTGTGTGATTACATCATGTTTGTACTCTTCCCTTCATCTAAAACATCCTTCCCTCTAAGTATCTCCTTCCCGTTCCTTATAGTGGTCACTCATTTTTCAGGTCTCTACTTAGATGCTTCTTCCTCCAGGAAGTCTTCCTTGATCCCTACTCCCAGTCTGAATTAAGTGCCCCTCATTCCTTCCCAGGAACTCCCAAAGCGGCTTACACTTCTTCATCTTAGTCCTTCAGTTTTAATTGCCATTTTACTTGTTGACATCCTTCACAAGACTATGAATTCTCTAATTCCTAGGAACACCCCTGTTTTATTCACTACTAAATATCAAGCAACTACCAGTGTTGGGATGTAACAGATACCCAAAAAATATTTGCTGAGAGTAACAGTGAGGAAGCATGTGTGTGTACAGATGCACACAGTAACTAAATGAGAGACAAGATTTTTGGAAAGTGGTAAGGCCCTGTCTTCCAACTGAGAAATAATTTTATAAAGGACTTAGGACTTGCCTGACTTAAAGCTGCAACATCACAAGTAAAACTGTATATTTAATAGAAAATACATAATAAAGGGTAAATTAGGTAAACACATAGGCCATAAATTACTAATGCATCATCATTCATTTAAATGTATAAAAAATATTAAACTACCCTTTTCTTTGTAACAGTAATTAGGTGGTAAGTCTCAGATTCAAATTACTAAAATAACACAATATTATTCAGTCATTGTTCCAAAGAAATCAATATCCCAGAAAAAACTAAGCTGTTCATGTCCTCATATGCAAATAGGTCACTGATGCCCAAGGTCAAGTAAAAATAGTTTGCTTTGGGATTAATACAATGATCTGGTTTCAATAAGTAGAAAATAATATGATACTTACTCACACAATACCACATATTTTTCAAGAGATTCAATCAGTAGTTTGCTATCTCCTTGATGAAAGTGTAGAGCAGGGAGAACGACGTCATCCTTTAGACAGAATACCAAATAGGACCAGCCCATACCCTCTTTGTTTTGCTTGATTGATTTCAGGTCTGTCAAACTGAACAGGAATGACCATTTGCTTTTCCCATTTCTATGACTTGGAGCATCTTAAAAACAAGAAAGTGGGGCAAAATATTTTTGTTCACCTTTTTAAAAGGTACTGACAGTGCTCTCCATGACTGCCTAACATAAATTAGTTGAACCCAGGGAATCAGTATAGCACTTATATTATTATGGCTTCCACCTGTATTAGATATGGCTACTTATATGTTCTTTTAAAAAATGATTTTTAAAATAATTATCCTACCACATATAAATGTTTTAAATGTTATTCCTATGTAAAATACAAGCTTTGCCCAAAAAAACTGATCATGGCTTTGCAAGCAGGCAGACTGGATTCATATTGCAGCACTACCATCTTACTAACTGAATGACCTGGGACAAATAATTGAATTTCTCTGAGCCTCAGTTACTTCATTTGTAAAATGGAGATAATTATACTTACCTCCCATTGTAATTCTATTAATAAGAATTAGGAGATAATACTTTTCAACTAACTAGTGCAAGCCAAGTATACCGAAAATTCTCAGTAAATGTTTATCTGTCCCACTCCCCCCAAAATAAGAATAGCTTAATTCTCTTGAAGAGTCAAAAAACAAAACAAAAACTTTTATTCCTTCATTTCCTTTTGTAATTATTTTTAGGACACTACACTAGTAGTGAAGTAAGCATACTGATATAAAAAATAACACTGGAGTGAATATACAGACATTTTATTTGCAGAAAAACAAAGTATAGCAAGGAATTGATGAAAAGATAAAAAGTTGTGAATGCTTCAAAAATAATACATTCAATTGCTAAATTAACTGTCTACTAAATTAAGACCTCAGTTCAAACCAAATTATAGTTATGTAAAATACGGCATGTTCTGAGTTTGTGGCCTCTTTATAGAAGCGAAAATTCCAGGTTTGTGAACATTATCGTAATTGATAACAAGCAACTTAAACCTCAACAATTTAAATAAAAAACTGAAAGAGAAAAAACTATTTATTCTCACTAATGATGCTAGTTCTTATAATTCACTTCTAATCTAAAACACCATTTTAACAATTTAACTCCAACATAAGCAAGTCGTGTCTCTGAAATTTTAAAAAACCTTTCCTAAAATGTTATTTCTTAAGAAGTGTCACACTATCCTGCTACTCAAGACCTTTATTAATTCTGTCCCATACTACCAGTCCCACAAAGATAAACTACTTAGAAGGAAGTTGCTTACAAGACTAGATCAGAAGACTTATTAATCAGTGTTGACCTGCATGGATGTATCACCGTCCTATCTGCAATCATCTCTAATAAGATCTCTTGAACTCACAAAAAGAAATCTACAGCTTACAGAAACCTCTATCTGCAAGGAAACCATGCGCCATCATTATTTCATGGACACTTAAACAAGTATCATTTGAAGGAAGCTAAAGTAACTTATCTATATACAATGACCAGCAGCTTTCACACCAGTTTGGACAGTGAACTCACATGTAAGAGATACCAGATTAAGTGCCATGTGCCCACTTGACTACTTTACATAATGTTTCACTGGTATTTATATTTTAGAGCTCATAAGACCACTTCAAGCTGATATCTAAGTGAGAACAGTTCTAGAATTTCAACTTATTCATGAATCATTTAAGTATGAATGTACTTAGACTACCTAGAACAGATACATACTGCTGGCTTATCTGCAAAGACCAAAAATATTTCACAGAAAAACAGCAATGAAAAAAAAAAGAAAAAAAGAAAGAAACCCAAAAAACTACATATAGACAATTTTTTAAATTAAATTCTTCGTTGCACAGAGTATTTTATCTAAATTAATGCAAGAAAATCATATGAAGTATATTAAATACTATATGTATGCTATATGAATTATCAGGAGTTTATGCATATTCAAGAGTAAAGGTTTTACATAGATTTTTCCCTCATTAACAGAAGAGACATATATTACATACAAAAGAAAATGCCTCACACATTTCCACATTTAAAGCTGTGACGAAGAAATATTTAAATTTAAAGCCCTGACAAATATTCTAGGCCCTCCACTAGAATAAAAGCTTCATGAGAACAGGAACTTTATCTTGTTCACAGCCATATCCTCAGTGCTAGAAGAGTGGCTAGCATACAGTAAGTAGTCAAAGATGAACTATCTGTTGAATAAGTGAATTAACAACCTAGTATCAAGTCAACATAAAACTAAACTGCAAAGCATTCTGCTGCAAATAGCTAGCCAGAAATAGAAATGGTTACAAAGGAAAACGGAAATCAAGAGTGAATTCAAAATATCTTTCTACTCAAAGCAAAGGTAAAGAAAATTAATTAGTTCTAATGAATTTACTATGTTACCAAATACATGTAAAAACTATCTCCAACACACTAACATGAGAATACTAAATATAATAGCAGAAGAACTGAACAAACAACTCTACTCTTCTTGTAAGAGCAGAACAGTTCAGTAAGTCTCTATATGCCTTAAATAGAATTAACATCAAGGACAAATTTTATTTGGATGGATCTCTAGAACAAACATGAGACAGTCTGATGTTCTTGGAAGGAATATTTCCAAAACATTTAACTTGTCTGGTATATAATAACAAAGGATGTAGCAGTAGAAACTCTTATGAAATATAAAGCAAAATGCTCTTAAGAAATATAATTAAATAAGTCTGATAGTCAATTTTTAAAGGTTTGTCCCAAATTGGCTTTGTGCCTCACACAAAAAAGAAAAAAGTACAAAGTTAAAAATGAGAAGGGTAAAAGGTAAGAAAAACAAAAGCTTTTTCTTTGGGGGGAAAAAAACTTTTAGAAAATAAGAAAGTTTCGTAATGAAATACATTTAAAACCTCTGGAATTTCTAAGCTTGAGGGTTCAAAATAAACCCTCAAGCTTAGAAATGAACCCACGGGCTTAGAAAATGCCTCCTTAACTTTTTTTTTTTTTTTTTTTTTTTGAGACGGAGTCTTGCTGTGTTGCCAGGCTGCAGTGCAGTGGCACAATCTCGGCTCACTGCAACCTCTGCCTCCCAGGCTCAAGCGATTCCCCTGCCTCGGCTTCCCCAGTAGCTGGGACTTACAGGCATGCGCCACCACGCCCGGCTAATTTTTTTGTGTTTTAGTAGAGACAGGGTTTCACCATTTTGGCCATGGTGATCTCGATCTCCTGACCTCGTGATCCGCCTGCCTTGGCCTCCCAAAGTGTTGGGATTACAGGAGTGAGCCACCGCGCCCGGCCTTTAACTTTTAATAACTACAAAATAAAGTCTGTGGTCAAGCCATAAGCAGGATTACATCTGTCGTTTTTTGCTAAGCTACACAGCTACACAGAAGTTCTCAACTCTGACCACATATTAAAGTCATCTGAAGACCTTCTAAAATGCACAGATGCCCAGGCTATATCTCCAGAGTCTGATTTTGGGTAGTATTTTTTAAAAATCTAACCTACCCAGGTGATTTCAATGTGCAGCCAAGGCTGAGAACCACTAATAAAGTGATCTTTATTGTCAGATTATGCTTTTCTCATTCATGTAAAGCTTCTTTCTTTTATGAAATTCTGGGCTACAAACCTATATAGCAATATTACTATACTGAATACCACAGGCAACTGTAACACAATGCTAAGTATTTGTGTATCTAAACACGTCTAAATGTAGAAAAGGTGATGCACTGCACTGTGACCGTACAAAGACTATGATGTCGCTACGTGACAGGAAATTTTCAGCTCCATTATAATCTTATGGGCTTATGGGACCACTGACATATAGGCGATCAGTCATTGAAATGCTGTTATGTGGCACATGATGGTATATATGTAGAAAGGAGAATAGTCACTCAACACATATTAAGGGAAAACTGCAATGAGCCATGAAGAGTCCAGCAAGATGCTGAAATTAGAATGGTATGATTTAGTGGTATACTCCATCTCCCTCTGTTACTTTAGGATAAAATAACATGATTATTATAATTCTACTAAATTAAGAAAAATGTGCATGAAGGACAGCCAAAGGAATGTTTTAAAGTGGTTCTACTTTCTGCCATTAATAACTATAAAATAGAGCAAGTATTTTAAAATATTTTTTTGAAGCCACAACCAATAAAACAGAGATGAAAAGGGAATATAACTAAAATATGAGATTTATACCTATTAACCAAAGAAATTAATCATCCTTCTCACTGAGGAGCATTCACGAATCTTCTTTGCATTTTTGTTTATTAGTATACTGTAGCAAATCAGTTTAAGATTTCAAAAGATTTAATTCATACCTCCATTGGTATGTGGTTTCCTTTTAAATGAAACTGTATTAACCATGTCCCATTCTGCTTCGTAACTGTTCAGATGTTCTGATCCTCGATGACCTCTTTCTTTTGGGGCCTGAGTCCATTCTACAACTGAACTGGAGTCCTAAAATAATTATAACATATAAAATATTTAAAGTCTAAAACAAATTTAATTTCAATCCATATCATCTTAGCTTCAATGTTTGTAGGCAGGCTGCAGACGACATCACTGGTGGGAAAACTGAACACCATTTCCTATACTTTTCTCTCTTGATCATCTTTATGAAAAAAAAAAAAAAAAGGAAGAGAAGCTTGACTAGACTCCCCTGCAGTCAGAGTTGCCAATGAAATATAAGCAGAAGTCAACTCTGAAAATGGCTTTGCTTTCATAATAAAAGCCTCATCCTTTTTTTCCTTTTTCCTGCTTTGAATGTAACCATGCTGCCTAAAAATAAAATAAAAAGCAAGAGAACCACTGCAAAAAGCTCCCAACCTCCAAACTTTTAGTTATTTAAAGAAAAGAGCCCAATGGTGGCTATTTAAGCCATCAATGGTTGTATAATTTCTTACAGGCAATCAAAATTAGCTAAAAGCAACATATTCACAGGTATAGTTCTATAGAATTTTCCATCTTTAAAGATAATAAAACCAAAAGTCTAAAATGCAATATGGTTTGAGTAAATCAAAAATTTAATTTCTATACAACAAAAGACACCATATATTAGCTAAAGATAGCACAACTACAACATCTTTCTAAAATATATGACAAAAGAAAAATGTCCAGATTACAAAACAACTCCTATTAATTTATTTAGAAATAGACAAATATCAAAACAGAAAAACAGGCAAATGGTATGAATAGGCAAGTCAAAGAAGAAGAAATATAATGTAATAAACATAGAAAGATGTCCAACTTCAGTAACAATGAAAAGCAAGTTGACAGATTTCTATTTTTTGCCCCATTCAATTAAAAAAGATAATATCAAATATGGAAGACAACGTGAGGAAATGGACCATCTCACACTGCTGATGACAGTGCTCATTACTACTGACACAGGAGGACAAACTAGGTCTTTCTAAACACATACATACATAAAAATAAAATGCATACAGGTAAAAGTCTGGAAAGATATACATTAAACAGAGACAGGTAAGGGAGGCCGAGCGAGGTGGCTCACACCTGTAATCCCAACACTTTGGGAGACCGAAGCGGGTGGATCACCTGAGGTCAGGAGTTTCAGACCAGCCTGGCCAACATGGTAAAACTCCGTCTCTACAAAAAATACAAAAAAGTTAGCCAGACATGGTGGTACATTCCTGTAATCCCAGCTACTCGAGAGGCTGAGGCAGGAGAATAGCTTGAACCCAGGAGTCAGAGGTTGCAGTGAGCCAAGATTGAGCCATTGCACTCCAGCCTAGGTGACAAGAGCGAAACTGCGTCTCCAAAAAAAAAAAAAGAGAGAGAGAGAGACAGGTAAGGGAAAAGACTCTAGTCAAGCAGGGCTTCAACTTTCTATTACTTGAACTTTTGCAACAGGATTGTATTCATGTGTCAATAGTATAATTCTTTTTTAAAAGAGAAAAGGAAAATTAGTAAGAATGAAAAGAAACTATAAAGGCACAAGAAAAATTAAGATGTAAGAAATAGAAACAGACTGAAAAACAGTAGGGAAACTGAACAAATGAAATTATCAAATAGATTGTTTTTTCTTCCAGTTCCTTCCTCAAATGTCATTTCTTGTTTGACTAGTTTTTTTTTTTTTAAATCAACCCTCAGGCCAGGTGCAGTAGCTCATGCCTGTAATCCCAGCACTTTGGGAGGCCAAGGCAGGTGGATCACTTGAGGTCAGGAGTTTGAGACAAGCCTGGACAACATGGCAAAACCCCCGTCTCTACTAAAAATACAAAAATTAGCCGGGAGTGGTGGGGGGTGCCTGTAATCCCAGCTACTTGGGAGGCTGGAGCACCAGAATCGCTTGAACTCGGGAGGCGGAGATTGCAGTGAGCCGAAATCGCACCACTGCACTCCAGCCTGGATGAAAGAGAGAGACTCCTCCAAAAAAAAAAACAAAAACCCTCACCACCATCCCTATTAACCCTAACCCTATCGTCAGTAGTGAGGAAAGCTAAGAAGCATCTACAAGAGTACTCTGTTCCCCACCTCTCTCTCTCTCTCTCTCTGACTTCTACTTCCCCCTACCAACTCTGCATACAAAAAGGCTCAAATTGGTAGGTCATGCCAATAATCAGGGAAATAAGGATTAAAGGTCAACCTGAAGACAGGACAACTAAGTCCAAAAGGCTGGAGTTTTGGAAAACATCATTTATCTCTAAATTAGGAAAAATCAAACACAATGAGCAAAGGAATAATATACTGAAATCAGGAGAATTAACTGAAAGTCAACCTATACAAAGAAGTTGGCAAGACTCCCAGCCCTTTTTCTCCACTCATTTGCCAGAATACTGCCATCCAAGCTTACCATTTCCAGGCAGGAATCTGCAGATTCTTGTCAAATCTACTAGCCCAAAAAGACGTGAACTTTGACATTAGGGATTCTCCAAGGAAACAGCTTAGCCATGCACCCCAGGAAGAGTCTCACTATTACCAGGCCTAACCATACCTACAGAGAATATAATCACTGTTGTGCATCTGCTCTTAAATTTGTTAAATATGAGCCCCACACTACATAAGCAACAAACATCAAAGACAAGTTATCTACAGAAAACAGAGTTCAAATGAAATGAGGTGGGGGCAGAGCAAAAGGTCACTAGAGGGAAATGGACTACATAGGGAGATGAAAAACATCTAAGAAGCTATCCTTAAACTCCTCAGTAATAAGAAAATATATTACAACCACAAAGAACAGAATGCTAATGCTATTCCTTTAAAAGGGGACACGAGGACACTCAGAACAAGAAAGATGTCTTAGTAATGAAATTATAGCAAAAAATGAAAAAGGCAATAGAAAAGTGAATTTCCTAGAAAATAGTACAGACCAATAAATAAATACGAAAGAAAGAAAAAGAAGAAAGGAAGGAAGGAAGGAAGGAAGGAAGGAAGGAAGGAAGGAAGGAAGGAAGGAAGGAAGGAAGGAAAAACAGGAAAGAAAAGATTTTAAAATTACAGGACCAGTCCAGAAATTGTAGAGCTCCAGAAAGAAAGAAAACAGAAAATGGGGAAGAAATCATCACTAAAATAAATCAAAAATATTTCCCAGAATTAAAAAAAAAAGACAGAAGTTTCCATATTAAAAGAGCTCATCAAGTACCCAGCACAATGTATTAAAAAAACAAATCCACAAAGGCACATAACCAGAACATAAAACTAGAAACAAAAAGACAATAATTAAAAGCTTCTAGAGAGGTTTAAAAAAAAAAAAAACACACACACACACACACATAACATGGGATCAGGAATTAGAATGCATTAGACTTAACATCAATAAAGGAAAGTAGAAAACCTGAGGCAAAACTTCAAAAACAGCCAGGCACAGTGGCTCACGTCTGTAATTCCAGCACTTTGGGAGGCTGAGGTGGACAGATCACTTGAGGTCAGGGATTCGAGACCAGCCTGGCCAACATGGTGAAACCTTGCCTCTACTAAAAATACAAAAACTAGTCGGGTGTGGTGGCGCACACCTGTAGTCCCAGCTACTCCGGAGGCTGAGGCAAGAGAATCACCTGAATCCAGGAGGCAGAGGTTGCAGTGAATGGAGATCCTGCCACTGCACTCCAGCCTGGGAGACAGAGAGAGACTCTGTCTCAAAAAAAACAAAACAAAAAAACTTCAAAAAAAAAAAAAAAATCCACGGGAAAATTTACTTTCAAACTGTAATTCTTGGCCTGCCAGGCCAATTCAGAATAAAGCCAAGTCTTTAAAAACAAAAACAAAACAAAACAAAAAAAAGAAATGTTTTTGTTCCCATGCACTCTTTTTCTCAGGAAGCCCTGGAGCTGCACCAAAACAAGGAATAAATCAAAACAGAGGTTGGCATGGGATACAAAAAACAGAGGGATTAAAATATGGAAAAGAGGCAAAAAAGAACCCCCAGGAAAGCTGCTGCACTGCAAACTAAAAGAGCAATCAGTCCAGGATAAGCTTGTGAGAAGGCTCTGGGATAAGAGTATCTAAGAAAATGAAATTAGAAGACAATCTATGTGTTTAAATATTCTGAGAAGAAATGTAGACAACTGAGCAAGAGTTTCAAGGTGATTCACAGATAAAACAGAGCTAAATCCCCACCTTCCACAGTGAGGAGTCAACACACATATGTAAATTGGAAAAAAAAATAGCAGTGTTAGAAGAATGTTATTTAGACACAGGGCTGTAACTAATCAAAAAAACAGCTACAAGGTTTATAATTGCCTTGGGAGATGGAAAATTTGGTGGAAAAGTGAGATACCTCTGTTTTCCATAATAAAACTTCTAAAACCCAGAATTTATGTAGGAAAATGTATAATTTGAATTAGAATGAATTTTATAAATAATAAAATCTTTAGGGCTAGGTGTAGTGTCTCACGCCTGTAATCCCTGCACTTTGGGAGGCCAAGGCAGGCAGATCACGAGGTCAGGAGATCGAGACCAGCAATATGGTGAAACCCCGTCTCTCCTAAAAATGCAAAAAATTAGCCAGGTGTGGTGACGTGCGCGCCTGTAGTCCCAGCTACTCGAGAGGCTGAGGCAGAAAAATCGCTTGAACCCAGGAGGTGGAGATTTCAGTGAGCCGAGATCATGCCACGGTACTCCAGCCTGGGTGACAGAGTGAGACTCTGCTTCAAAAATAAATAAATAAATAAAAATAAAATCTTTAATAAAAAATTATGAGAAAATATTGAACAGACACATGAAAAGCACAAAAACATAACAGAATTAGAAGTACAACCATTTAATAAAAAAATCTGTTCAAATGATTCCTTATCTTACATCATACACAAAAATTAACTCAAAATGGACCATACATGAGAAATTACTTAATGGGTATAATGTACATTACTCAGGTGATGGAGACTTGATGTGGAAGCGAGGAGAAGGTAGGGAAAGGGAGGAAGAAAGAAAAAAAAAATCACCAATCTAAATATAAGAGCTAAAACTATAAAACTCAGAAGAACAGCAGTACATCTTCATAATCCTGAGTTAGGTACTGGTTTCCTGGATATGACACGCCAAAAGCACAGGCAACAAAAGAAAAAAAATAGATAAACTTGACTTCATGAAAATTAAAACCGTTTGTGCTTCAAAGCATACCAAAAAGAAAGTGAAAAAACAGTCCACCATACGGGAAAAAATGTCCGCAAATTACACATCTGATGAGAAATTTATATCCAGAATATATAAAGAATTCTTACAACTCAACAATAAAAAGACAAGTAACTACCCTGTAATGCCAGCACTTTGGGAGGCCAAGGCGGGCAGACTGCTTGAGCTCAGGAGTTTGAGACCAGCCTAGCCAACATGCTGAAACCCTGTCTCTACAAAAAATACAAAAATTAGCCGGGCATGGTGGCATGCGCCTGTAGTTCCAGCTATTTGGGAGGCTGAGGTGGATGGATCGCTTGGGCCAGGAGGCGGAGGTTGCAGTGAGCCGAGATCACACCATGCACTCCAGCCTGGGCGACAGAGCAAGACCTTGTCTCAAAAATAAAAGAAAAGACATATAACTACATGGGCAAGGACAGGCACGGTGGCTCAAGCCTGTAATCTCAGCACTTTGGGAGGCAGAGGCGGGCAGATCACCTCAGGTCAGGAGTTCGAGACTAGCCTGGCCAACATGGTGAAACTCCATCTCTACTAAAAATACAAAACTTAGCTGGGCATGGTGGCAGGAACCTGTAATCCCAGCTACTTGGAAGGCTGAGGCATGAGAATTGTTTGAACCTGGGAGGTAGAGGTTGCAATGAGCTGAGATCGCACCACTGCACTCCAGCCTGGGCGACAGAGCAAGACTCCGTCTCAAAAAAAAAAAAAAAAAAATAGTAAATATAAATAAATAAATGGGCAAAAGATTTAGAACAGGCATTTCTCCAAAGAAGATACAGTTGGCCCTCCATAGCCATGGGTTCTGTATCTGTGGATTCAAACCTGGAATCTAAAATATTCAGGAAAAAAAATTCCACAAACTTCCAAAAGGTAAAACTCGAATTTGCTGTGCACCAAGTACTATGCTACATCAAATAGAACCAATACCCCACAGATACCAAAAGACAGTGTATACACCACATGGCCAATAATCCCATGAAAAGATGTTCAACAACATTAGTCATTAGGAAAACATAAATTAAAACCACAACGACATACAACTTCAGTTATGGTTTGAATTGTGCCGCCCCCTCCCAAAAAGATAAATTAACATCCTAACTCCCATTACCTCAGAACGTGACTCGATTTGTTAGGCTGGTGCAAAAGTAATTGCGGTGTTTGCCATTAAAGCAATGTCAAAGACCTCAATTACCTTTGCACCAACCTAATGGAAATAGGGTCTTAACACAAGTAATCAAGTTAAAATGAGATTATCAGGATGGGCCCTAATCCAATATGACTAATGTCCTTATAAAAAGGGGATTAACAGACAGATAGACATGAACAAATGGAAGATGATGTGAAAACACACAGAGGACACCATCTACAAACCAAGGAATGTCTGAGGCTACTAGAAATTAGCAGACAGGCAACAGATTCTCCCTAACAGCCCTCAGAAGAAACCAATCCTGCTAATACCTTGATTGCTGACTTCTAGTCTCCAGAACTGAGAGACAATAAATTAAGACTGTTCTAAGCCACCCAGTTTGTGATGATTTGTTTACAGTAGCCCTAGGAAACAAATAGAACTTCATATCCACTAGGTTTACTAAAATTAAAAAGATAATAACAAGTGTTGATGAGGATGTAGACAAATTGGAATCCTCATATACTGCTGGATTAGAAAATGATGCAGCTGCTCTGAAAAAGTGTGGCAGTTCCCCCAAATGTTAAACACACAATTATAAAACCCAGTAATTCTACTCCTAGGTATATACTCAAGAGAAATAAAAACATGTTCACACAAAAAACCTGCACATGAATGCTCACAGCAGCATTATATATATTAGCCCCAAAGTGAAAACAACCCAAATGTCCATCAATTGATGAATAAAACTGTGATATATACACTATTAGACAAAACAATGGTATACACAATATTATTCATCAAAAACAAAAGGACCATACATGCTATGTAACACAGATGAACCTTGAAAACCTTATGCAAAGTGAACGAAGCCAGTCACAAAAAAAAACACTACATTATTACATGACTCCATTTATACGAAATGTCTAGAACAGGCAAATCCTTAGAGACAGAAAGTAGATTAGTGATTGCCAGTGACTGAAAGTAGGTGAAATGAGGGGTTAACTGCTGACAGAGTTCTGGAGGGTGATGAAAATGTTCTAAAATTAGATACTGGTGGATGGCTGCACAACTCTGTAAATATGCTAAAAACCACTGAATTGTATGCTTTAAAAGGATGCATTTTATGGTATGTGAATTATATATGGATAATACTGTTATTTTTTAAATGGCATTCCCTTAGTAACACATTTTTTTCTTAAATACCTTTCTAGCATAGAGAATACTAGAGGAATCTAATGCATCATCCAATGGTCTCCAGTCCACTATTACTTCGGCATCCTAGAGAAAGAAATTATGAACTATATTTAATATTCAGCAATATGTTATTCTTAATTATTTTATTCCCTGAACCCAAAATAAAATTTCAGCCTCTTAAATATCTACATTTTAAATATGCTAACATCATATGTAAATCAAAAATGTTACATAGATTTTTCAAATTCTGCCTACTTTTCATCATGAAAAATTTATATTGCTACAACTTCTACGTAAGTTTTAGAATATTCCATGTCATTTTATCTAAAGTACAGACGGTCCCTGACTCATGATGGTTTGACTCAGGATTTTTTTGTAATAGGATGGTGTAAAAGCAATGCACATGCAGTAGAAATCATACTTCAGGTAACCACAGAAACACTGTTTTTCACTTTCAGCACAGTATTCAATTCATTACATGAGATAATCAACACTTGATTATAAAACAGGCTTTATGTTAGATAATTTTGCCCAACTGTAGGCTAATGTAAGTGTTCTAAGCACGTTTAAGGAAATTAAGCTATGATGTCCAGTAAGTTAGGTGTATTAAATGCATTTTTGATAAACAATATCTTCAATTTATGATGGGTTTATCAAGACATAACCCCATCATAAGTCAAGGAGCGTGTGTTTGACTATTACATCATTTCGGTGTTAAATTTACAATTACTGTTCAATTACATAATTGTATCTTACACATGAAATTCAAACTTTCTGATAATTCTCCAAAGATGAATCACTACCATAAACTATTATTAAATAAAATCATTTACTAGAAACTTACCTTTTCTAAAACACGTAATATTCCTGAAATCAAGCCGTCTTGGTCATTGGTCTTTCCACAAGATGAGTGAATATATACTCCTTCTTGTTCATATATAATCTAAAACAGCAAAAATAAAGTTAGTCACATAATTTCTATTGAGTACTATTTTAACATGTTAAAATATTAAGATATATTTTCTTATCATACTTGGCCAAGTTTCTGATTATTTCATATATAAATGTATTATTTAAAAAAATACCTCTCAGAGTTAACAGCACTTCAATCAAGCAAACATAAACTGGAATTAATTCTGCTTTGTTAATGCATGAAAGTTTATCAGATTCGTGATAATCACAATCTTGATCTTCTACTTAAACAAAGATGTCAGACTAATTGCAACAAGTCTCAATATTTAAATTCCACCTAAAATTTATATTTTTTGCCAGATGCAGTGGCACATGCCAGTAGTCCCAACTACCTGGGAGGCTGGGCTTGAGCCCAGGAGTTCAAGGTTGTAGGGTGCTATGACTGCACCTGTTAATAGCCACTGCACTCCAGCCTGGACAATACTGCAAGAACTCATCTCTATAAAAAATCAAAAAAATAAGTATTTTTTTTTCATGAGCATTAAGGAAAATACTGAGCTCGAATTGAAAATGCACTTGAAAATATCTAAGAATAAGAACAAATGAAACACAATGAGGAATCAATCCTTTCTAACTATTCCCATAATAGCACATTTTTACTGTAAGATCATTTTGGCGTGTTTTTGAAACACCATGGCATAGAAATTCGGGAAATAATACAGGAATTTTAAAGAGCAGTGATGAGAACAAAAATAAACAGAGTAGTGATGGAGACTCCTAGAAATGACTCACTAACTCAATTTCACAATATTAACTGAGTGCTTCTATATGTAAAAAGCACATAAAAGACCAAAAGTACATGAAGATGATAAAGACATAATCCTTGAATAAATTCCTATGGGAATATAGGGGAGACTTAAGTTAACTCCTAAGTAAGTTTAAACATTTAAGGTTAAGCCTCATTTTTCATAGACATAATGTTATAAATTGAGATTCCATTCTTGAGACCCATTTCAAACCATTTAAAAATTTTTTTAATTATGAAAATAAGTAAAAAACAGTCACTTCTAGACCTAAGAACTTTTCACATATATAAGTCTGGTCAATAGTGTATATTATTCTATTTCTGTAGACCTTTTATTAATATTAGTCTTCAGAATATCATGGGTCAGCAATGCAAGACAAGCACTATCAGAGTCTATCACTCCTTCATTCATAAATGTAAATAGGTATGTATCTTCCTGTTTTTAGCTAACATTTACGGAACACTTATACACTAGGAACTCCTTATATTGTAACTTAATCCTTACAACCACCCTAAATCACAGATTATATAACTACATTCTACTACATCATTGGGATGAGAAGCCCATTTGTGTGAATAAGACAACTGAAAGTGGTGAAATAACTGCCCAAATGAGGCAAATAATAACCGGTGGTGATGAAACTGAAACCCAAGGAGTCTGACAACAGAAAACTGCGCTCTTAGCCACTACATTATAAAGGTTCCACATTACTTTTACTGCCTCTCTCGGATGTGTTATGTTAATCAACTGTGATATGGACTTATGTCAGGAAACAGTCTTTTAAGTAATTAAGATCACCAAGGAAGTTTTGATTTCAAAAACCTAAGTAAGATGGCCTTTCCTGAAATAGCTGTTAAGCATCAGACCAGCATATAAACAGAAGCTTACATGGGGATAGGATGAGCTGAGAAAGGGTGGGAGATAATTCTATACTGTTTGTACAGAGATGAAAAATTTTAAAGCCTACAGATAAATGTACAAAAATATGCATAAGAATATTCACAGCAGTATTATTTATAATGTTAGAGGAAGGAGAAGGAGGAGAAGGGGAGGAGGAAAGGGAGGGTATGCATCTAAATATTCACAAATAGGAAAATTATCAAATATATCCTGGGATATCCATTCTTTGGGGGATACTATTCTGGAGTTATAGGATGAGGCAGATTAAATGGATGGGGAAACAGACAATGCACACAGAAAAATCATCATGTATATATAGTATGCTGACATTTACACTTTTATGAAGTTTCTATCTGTGTGAAATATACAGAACAAATTCTGGGAGGATACTTTAAGGTATTAACAAAGACTACTTCAGGAGAGTAGGATGAGAAAAGGTTGAAACAGGAACTGTTAACTTTCTATGTTAATGCCTCTGACTTATTTGAATATTTCAAAGCGAAAATATAGTCATATATTTAAAAATAATTTTAAAGAGTAACATGAAAAAAGGAAAGTCCAGAAGTATAAACTAAATTTTCTAGACTTCAGTTTATCAAACAGGAGGGTGAACCAGATGCTCATACCTAGGAACACAAAAAAAGATATGAAAAATGGAAAAGAAATCCCTTAAAATCTCCACCTTCTGCAATACAATTTTATTAACTTTAGTCTGCATGTTGTACATTAGATCTCTAGACTTGTTCAGCATATGTATCTATTTTCTATCCTTTGACCTACATCTCTCCATTTCCTAGCAACCCTGACTAGTGGTAACCACTGTTTAATTCTCTGTACTTGAGTTTTGTTTTGTTTTGTTTTGTTTTGTTTTTGAGACACAGTTTTGCTCTGTTGCCCAGGCTGGAGTGCAGTGGCACAATTTCAGCTCACTGCAACCTCTGCCTCCCAGGTTCAAGTGATTCTCCTGCCTCAGCCTCCCGAGTAGCTGGGATTACAAGCATGCACCACCATGCCCGACTAATTTTTCTGTTTTTAGTAGAGATGGGGTTTCACCACGTTGGCCACGCTGGTCTCAAACTCCTGACCTCAGGTGACCTGCCCACCTTGGCCTCTCAAAGTGCTGGGATTACAGGCATGAGCCACAGCACCCAGCCCTGAGTTGTTTTTTTAATTATACATATTCCACATATAGGTGAAATCCCACAATTATTTTTCCTTCCGTATCTGCTTATTTCACATAGCATAATGCTATCCTCCAGTTAAATAAGTAGATTTTAGCTGCTGTTGTCACAAAAAAGTAACTATGTGAGATGACAAATATGTTCATCTAATTCACTACAGTAACCATTTTACTATCTGTATGTATCCCATAATATGTTGTAAACCTCAAATGTACATAATAAAATTTATTTTAAAAAAGATATTGAGAAAAAATATTCTCAAGTTTTTGTGACAAATGGATCAGAGACATACTCAGAAATAACACTTCAGCATATTTTCACGTAAGACTCAGCTAGTAGAATAGTCGGGAACTTCCTAACTCTCATAGTGGAAAAAGAGACACTCATTTGGCAAGAAAAGCTTGCTATCATTAACAATGCAATCTAAGGTTCTATGATACCATTAACACTAAAGAGATTCTAGAACTTTAACAAGGTGAACCCTATACAATCAAATAAAACACTTTACCTTATTTAGGCACATTAAGCAACTCTTCCTCTTACATTTGTTGGTTAAGTGTTGCCTATTTTTTTTCACTTAAGAAAAAGTTGAAAGAGTTTCCTAAGTAGTTTAGCTGGGGAAATAATAAGAATTAAAGTGACAGACACCTTACAAAAAAGTCAAAGCTGGCCGGGCACAGTGGCTCACACCTGTAATCCCAGCACTTTGGGAGGCCGAGGTGGGTGGATCACGAGGTCAGGAGATCGAGACCGTCCTGGCTAACACGGTGAAACCTCGTCTCTACTAAAAAATAGAAAAAATTATCCGGGCATGGTGGCGGGTGCCTGTAGTCCCAGCTACTCGGGAGGCTGAGGCAGGAGAATGGAGTGAACCCAGGATGCAGAGCTTGCGGTGAGCCGAGATCGTGCTACCGCACTCAAGCCTGGGAGACAGAGCGAGACTCCGTCTCGAGAAAAAAAAAAAAAAAAAAAAGTCAAAGCTGCACTCATTCTGTATTCTGTGTTCCTCAACTCTTCAGCCCTTTTTGAGGAACAAATTATACATCCCAAAACTCCTAATTCCAAACCACATTTATACTGTCTTCAGAAAGAAGTCATGTTTAGCTTTCTAATTTTGAAGGGTGTGATGTTAACTGATACAAAGTAACACTTCTGTCAGAAATGGCAAATAAAATTAATAAATTTATTAATTTGTAATAGCTACTAAATCTTACAAAGTCTTATATTTTATAAGACTTAAGGGCACAGGAAAAAAATAGTTGCATTGGTACATAATTTACTTCCAATATAAAATCACTTAGTGATAATTGTTTTAACTTAAATATAGGTTGAGCATCCTTAATCCAAAAATCTTAAATCTGAAATGCTCCAAAATTTGTGCACCAGCTTCAAGCTCAAAGGAAATGGACCTTGGAACACTTCCTTGGCTGGGTACGGTGGCTCACGCCTGTAATCCCAGCACTTTGGAAGGCCAAAATGAGAGGACTGCTTGAGCCCAGGAGTTCCAGACCAGCCTGGGCAACAAAGTAAGATCCTGTCTCTAAAGAATAAATAAATGATTTTTTGTTTTTAATGAACACTTTGTGGATTTCAGGTATTTGGAGTGGGGATCCTCCACCAGTATACTGCAAATATTCCAAAATTCAGAACACTTTTGGGTCCCCAGTTTTGAATAAGGGATAATCAACCTGTAGCACCTTGTTTCCAAAGTACCCTGATCTCACTTAAATCCTCACAGCCACCCTGAATAAGTCAAAACCAGTATTGTTATCTACATCTCTATTTTATGAAAAGAATAAATTGAGGAAAGAACTGCCAGGAAATCTGTAATCCAGTCTTTCCTTGGATAAATATGTGGTCTTCAGTAAAGTCACCAATCACAGATTTCCTGACACATTCATCCATTAAATCATAACTGTTATTGCCTAAAGAAACTACCAGAAAATTTCCACATGGCTTCCCTAGAGGACAACAGTTCCTGAAATGGCTTAAATGCAGAAAACAATGCTGCTTCAGAACTAAAAACCAATTTTTAAATGTCTACATTTATAAACCAATGCAGGAGCATTTGGCCTTTAAACAAAAACCCTTACTCTCATCTGAACTCCTAAATATTCTACACAAGAAGCTTAACCCTTTTCATATCATCTTGGTTTAGATCATTCATTGAATATTGTAGTCCTTCAATCTATTTTTTAAGGGTGTGATCTTATGTTTTATTCATATGACATATCTGTTCATCACCCTAATGTCTAAGCACATGTGTTTATTAAAATACAAAAATCACAACTCTCAAATACCAACTATTTTAAATAGCCCAAAATACAAAAACAGAAGTCCAGAGACTGGTGTCAGCAAGATGGTCGTCTAGAAGGCCCTAGGGCTCATCTCTCCCCAACCCGCAACAAGCAACCAAAACAATGAACAAACAACTACATTTTAACAAAAATAACTGAGGAGACAGGCCAGGCACAGTGGCTCATGCCTGTAATCCCAGCACTTTGAGAGGTCGAGGCAGGAGGACTGGTTGAGCCTAGGAGTTCATAACTAGCCTGGGCAACATAAGCAAGACTCTGTCTCTAAAAATAAAAATAATAACTGAGGGAGAGCACTAGAGTGCATCATAGGAATAACAGAAACCCTTGTGAGCACACAGAAACTCAGGATGGCCACATAGAGAAACAAGGAAATATTGGGATCCCATCACTCCATCCCAGAGCTGAGATCATCTGGGAACCAGGAGGAACTTCTTCCTAAAGCAAGGATGTAAACAAGAGAATACCAGCAGCCTCCACCAACAACTTAGACACCTACAGACTTCACCAGTCCCTGCAGTCCTCACAGGCACTAACCCCAGCTGAGGGAGCTGCCTCGAGTCTAAATAGCTGTGCTCCCCCAAGAGAGGAGAAGATACCGCATCTGTCCTTGTGGCCCAAAAGACTACTCCACTATGCCATCTTGGAACTGGAACTGTGGCAGAATGTGTATTGCTCTAGGGGCAAGTAGCCACAGATTCCCTTCATCACTGAGACTAAGCAACCACCGAACCACCCCAGCCCACTGGCCCATCCCCAAGCCAGCTGTGAAAAGTTGGTACACCCTTCCCTGTGGGGCCAAGTGGAAACAGAGTCAGTCCACGTACACTTGCCCTCACCCCCTCAGGCCAGAGCTAGAAGTGGCATCTTGCCTTCTGGGAAAACAGGACTTTGGCCACTCAGAGCAGTCCCATATCCCCAGTTCCCAAGTTGAAACAGTGCCTTGGCCACCCAGAGCAGTAACACACCCCAGTACCCAAGCTGAAGTGGCACCTTCCGTCCCAGGGAAATGTGCCTGAGCTGCACAGAACAGTCACACCCCACCAGGCCAAAGCTGAAAGGGCATATCACTCCCTGGGAAACTGGTGCCCTGCCTGAGCTGAGCAGCTACACATCCCCAGGCTGAGCTGACACAGTACCCCATATCCGAGAGAAACACAGCCATGCTGAGCTAGATAGCCCACACTACAGGCCAAACAACTCTAGTACCTTGCTTCCCTGGAGCTGGATTAGCACTCCAGAGTCTAAGCTGCTGAGATACTCCTCTCCCTGGGGAATAAAGTCATCACTGTGCTATTCCCTACCCCCTCTCCTGGGGCCCAAACCACAGCTGTGTTCTGCCATTCTGAGGTACTTGCTGCTACTGCACCTCGACTCACAGAGTCTGGATACTGCCAAGCCCCACCATCCCAAGGTCTTGAGTCACTACTACCCAGGACCTCATCCCCTGAGATCCACGTTACCACTGAACCCTACTGGCTCAGATTCCTGAACTGTAGCCACACCCTGCTCCCCAGGCCCAAACCTTCAAAGTACCCCTTCTTCCCAGGAGTCAGGCCAGTGTTGTGCCCTGCCCTCCAGTTAAGAGAATCACAGCTACAACCCAGCCCCCTGGGCCCAAGCTGCTAGAGAGTGACTCAGTGTCATACATCCTGGCTCTGTGGGCAACCTACATCCAACACAGCCAGAGCAGGCAAACCTGCATCCCAAGACCCAGATGACAAAATAGGTTTATAAGATGCTGAGCCTGGACATGGAAACCCACAGCTGCTCCAAGCACCTACACATAGAATACAGTGCCACTGCAGCTGCTTATGGGCCACAACAAATCTGACACCAAAAAGGACTTAGACACCCTCAGCTAAGTCTCCTGTTGTGAGGAAAATGAGACTAGGAGAACCCCAAAAGCCCTTGACAGCAAGGACATTACCACTGCTGCCACAAAATTCTACAACCTACGCCACTGAGGTGCCCACAATTATTGCTGATACTGAAAGCAGCTAAATAAGCTACGTGGATACTATACCACTGCACCTATTCGGAAACAATCACTACACCCTTCTCAACCAACAAATTAAAACCCAACTGTAGGTAGGCCGGGCACGGTGGCTCACGCCTGTAATCCCAGCAGTTTGGGAGGCCAAGGCAGGTGGATCACAAGGTCAGGAGTTCAAGACCACCCTGGCCAAGACAGTGAATCCCCATCGCTACTAAAAATACAAAAATTAGGCGGGCATGGTGGCAGGCGCCTGTAATCCCAGCTACCCGGGAGGCTGAGGCAGAGAACTGCTTGAACCCAGGAGGCAGAGATTACAGTCAGCCAAGATCATGCCACTGCACTCCTGCCTGGGCAACAGAGCGAGACTCCATCTCAAACAAAACAAAACAAACAAACAAACAAAAAAAAAAAACACTCAACTGCAGGTGAAAGTCATTCTCTATAAAAGCCACTCTACAGAGTTTAGAAAGGGAATTGTTCCACTAGATGCAAGGACATCAATGGAGGCACACATGAAACGAAAACAAAAAGCAGCCGGGTGCAGTAGCTCACACCTGTAATCCCAGCACTTTGGGAGGCTGAGGTGAGCAGATCATGAGGTCAAGAGATCAAGACCATCCTGGCCAACATGGTGAAACCCCATCTGTACTAAAAATGCAAAAATTAGCTAGGCATGGTGGCACGTGCCTGTAGTCCCAGCTACTCAGGAGGCTGAGACAGGAAAATCGCTTGAACCCAGGAGGCAGAGGTTGCAGTGAGCCAAGATGGTGCCATTGCACTTTAGCCTGGGCAACAAGAGGGAAACTCCGTCTCAAAAAAAAAAAGCAAGAAAATAGGACACCACCAAGGGAACATAACAATTCTCTAGTAGCAGACCCTAGTGAAAAAGAAATCAACAAAAGGAATTCAAAATAATAACCTTGAGGAAACACAATGAAATACAAAAAAAATACAGATAATTCAATAAAATCAGGAAAATAATTCATGATATGAATGAGATATTCCATAAAGAAATAGAAATAATAAAAAAAGAGCCAAGCAGAAATTCTGCAGCTGAGGAATTCAATGATAAAATAAAAAAATAAAAGAGAGCTTCAACAGCAGACCTGATCAGCAAAAGAATCTCTGAATTTAAAAATAAGTAGTCTAACATTACCTATTCAGTGAGGGGAAAAAAAAGAGTGACAAAAGCCTATATGCCTTATGGGACACCATTAAGCAAGCATATATTCCTATTTTGGCACTTCCAAAGTGATGAGAGACAAGAAAAGGTATAGAAAACCTATTTAATACAGTAACTGAAAACTTCCCAAGTCTGAAGAGAGATATAAAAAACATCCAGATCCAGAAAGCTCACAAGTCCCCAAATAGATTCAACCTAAAAAGGTCTTCCTTAAGGTACATTATAGTCCAACTGTCAAAAGAGAATTCTAAAAACAGCAGGAAAAAAACGTCAAGTCACATATAAGGAAGTCCCTGTTAGATTAAAAGCAGATTTCTTTTCTTTTCTTTTCTTTTTTTTGAGACAGAGTCTCACTCTGTCGCCCAGGCTGGAGTGCAGTGGCACAATCTTGGCTCACTGCAAGCTCCGTCCCCCAGGTTCATGCCATTCTCCTGCCTCAGCCTCCTGAGTAGCTGGGACTACAGGTGCCCGCCACCACACCTGGCTAATTTTTTGTATTTTTAGTAGAAACGGGGTTTCACCATGTTAGCCAGGATGGTCTCGATCTCCTGACCTCGTGATCCGCTCGCCTCAGCCTCCCAAAGTGCTGAGATTGTAGGCGTGAACCACCACACCCGGCCTAAAAGCAGATTTTTCCTTAGAAATCTTATAGGCCAGGACAGTATGAGATGATATATTCAATGTGATGAAAGAAAAATACTTCCAGCCAAGAATACTATATCTAGCAAAGCTATCTTTCACAAATCAGGGAGAAATAAAAGTCTTTTCCAGACATGTGAAAACTGAGGGAATTTATCACTACTAGACTGGCCTTATAAGAACTGCTCAAAGGAGTCCTATATCTGGAAGGAAAAAAAGATGAAAATTACTATCATGAAAACATACAAAAGTATAAAACTCATTGCTAGAGCAGATACACAAAGAATAAAGCAAACAGAATCGAATCTTACCATTACAGAAAACCACCAAACTTCAATGATAAACTATGAGAGCAAAAAAGGAACAAAGGATATACAAAACAACCAGAAACAATTAACGAAATGAGAGGAATAAATCCTCACCTATCAATAACAATCTTGAATGTAAACAAATTAAATTGCCCACATAAAAGATACAGACTGGATAAATGGAATTTTTTAAATGACCCAACTATATGCTGCTAACGAGAAACTCACTTCATCTGTAAAGACACCTACAGACTGAAACCAAGAGAGCAGCAGTAGCTTTACATGTATCAGATAAAACAGACTTAAAAATCAAAAACTGTAGAAAGAGACAAAGAAGGTTATTATATAATGAAAAAGGGATCAATTCAGCAAGAGGATATAACAACTGTAAATATATATGCACTCAACACCAAAGCACCCAGATACATAAAGCAAAATACTAGCTCTAAAGGGATAGCTATACTCCAATACAGTAACAGTTGGGGACTTCAACACCCCACCCTCAGCATTGGACAGATCATTTAGGCAGAAAATCAACAAGAAAAAAAAAATGGATTTAAGCTGCACTTTAGACCAAATGAATCTAACAGACATTTACAAAACATTTTATCCAACAGCTGCATAATACACTCTTTTCATCAACACATGGCCAATACCCTAGGACAGAACATGTTAGACCACTAAACAAACAAATCTAAACAAGTTTAAAAGAACTGAGATTATAAGAAGTATCTTTTCTGACCCTAATGAAATAAAACTAGAAATCAGAAACAAGAACTTGCAAATTTGTACAAATACATGAAAATTAAACGTTTCTGAATGACCAATGGGCCAAAGAAGAAATTAAGTAATTTTTTTAAATTTCTTGAAACAAACAAAAATAGAAACACAACATACCAAAACCCATGGGATACAGCAAAAGTAGTATTAAGAAGGAAGTTTATAGCAATAAACACCTACATTAAAAAAACAGGAAGAGTTCAAATAAACAACTGAACAATGCATGTCAAGGAACTAGAAAAACAATAACAAACCAAATACAAGTGAATAGAAGAAAAGAAACAATAAAGATCAAAACAGAAATAAAATTGAGACAAAAAAAAAATTTACAGAACAAAGTTGACTTATTAGTTAAAGGCAGCCAAAATTGACAAACCATTACTTATACAAACCAAGAAAAAAAGTGAAAAGACCCAAATAAAATCAGAAATTTAAAAACTATACATTAAAACATACCACAGAAATACAAAGGATCATTAGAGAGACTACCTACCATACTCCTACCATACTCCAACAAACTGGAGTATGGATAAAGTCCTGGACACATACTACTTATCAAGATTGAATCAAGAAGAAACCAAAAACCTGAAAAAAACAATTACAGTACAGTAAGTTTGAATCAGTAATGAAAAGTCTCCCATTAAAGAAAAGCCCAAAACCCAATGGCTTCACTGTGGAATTCTACCAAACATTTAGAGAAGAACAAATGTCAATTCTTCCCAAACTCTTCCAGAAAACTGAAGAGGAAACAATTTTTCCAAACTCATTGTATAAGGGCAGCATTACCCTAATACCAAAACTAGACAAAGACACAACAAAAAAAGAACACCATAGGCCAATATCCCTGATGAATACAGATGCAAAAATTCTCAACAAAATACTAATAAGTGGAATCCAGCAGCACATTAAAAAGATCACTGACCATGATCAAACACAATTTATCCCAGGATGCATGGATGGTTCAACATATGCAAATCAATAAATGTGATATATCACATCATTAGAATGAAGGATAAAAATCATACGATCATCTCAATAGACAGGAAAAAAAGCATTTTATAATATTAAACATCCCTCATGATAAAAACTCTCAGCAAGTTAGTAGAAGAAACATACTTGAACACAATGAACTCTACAGCCAACATCATACTTAACAGGGAAAAGTTCAAAGTTTTTCTCTAAGATCTGGTACAAGACAAGGATGGCCACTTTCACCACTTTTAGTCAACACCGTACTGGAAGTCCTAGCCAGAGCAATTAGGCAAGAGAAAGAAAGAAAAGACATCCAAATTGTAAAGAATCCTTGTTTGCAGATATAATCCTACACATAGAAAACCCTAAAAGCTCTACCAAAAAACTCCTAACACTGATTAATTACATAAAGTTGCAGGACACAAAATCAACGAACAAAAATTAGTAGTATTTCTATACAGCAACAATGAACTAGCAGAAAAACAAATCAAGAAAGCAATTCCATTTATAATAGCTACAAACAAAAAAGGAAATAATGTAGGAATAAATTTAACCAAGGTGAAAGATCTGTACAAGAATAACTACAAACACTGATGAAAACTTAAGGAGGACATAAAATAAAGGCATCCATGTTCATAGATTGGAAGAATTAATATTGTGAAAATGACCACAATACCAAAAGCAATCTAAACATTCAATGCAATCTCTATCAAAATACCAATGACAACCTTCCCAGAAATTGAAAAACAATCCTAAAATTCATATGGAACCACAAAAGATCCCAAAAAGCCAAAGCAATCCTGAACAAAAAGAACAAAGCTGGACGCCTCACACTACCAGACTTCAAAATGTACTACAAACCTACAGTAACCAAAACAGCATGGGGCTGACATAAAAACATACACAGACCAATTAAAGAGAATAAGGAACCCAGAAATAAATTTAGAGCCAACTGATTTTTGACAAAGTCACCAAGAACATTCATTGAGGAAGAAACAGTCTCTTCTACAAATGGCGCTGGGAAAACTAGGTATGTATATGCAGAAAAAATGAAACTAGAACACTACCTCTCACCACATACAAAAATCAACTCAAAATGGATTGAAAGGCTAGGCATGGTAGCTCATGCTTGTAATCCTAGCACTTTGGGAGGCCAAGTCAGGCAGCTCACCTGAGGCTGGGAGTTCAAGACCAGCCTGGCCAACATGGTGAAACCCCATCTCTACTAAAAATACAAAAGAAATCAGCTGGGCATGGTGGTAGGTGCCTGTAATCCCAACTACTCGGGAGGCTGAGGCAGAAGAATCGCTTGAACCTGGGAAGCAGAGGGTGCAGTGAGTTGAGATCACGCCACTACACTCCAGCCCGGGCAACATAGTGAGACTCCATCTCAAAAAAAACAAAAAGGATTGAAGCTTAAATGTAAGATCCAAAACTATGAAACTACTACAAGAAAATGTTTCAAAAACTACTAGAGGAAATTATTCAGGGCACTGGTCAGGACAAAGATTTTACAGAGAAGAATGCAAAAGCACTGGCAACAAGAGCAAAAACAGACAAACAAGATTACATCAAAATAACTTCTGCATAGCATAGGAAACAAGCAACAAAATGAAGATACAACCTATAGAATGGGAGAAAATACCTGCAAACTATACATCCAACAAGGGTTTAATATCCAGAAGATACAAGAAAGTCGAAAACCTCAACAGAAAAAAAAATACTCCAATTTCAAAATGGGCAAATAAGCTAAATAGGTATCTCTCAAAAGAAGACATACAGGAAGTTTATATTCAGAGCAACTTGAATCTATGCTACTGGATTGCAATCCTCAATCTTGGCCCAAATAAACTCTGTATCTACATTTAAAAATGACGATGACAAAAAAAACATACAAATGGCTAACAGGTATATGAAAAAAATGTTCAACATCACTAATTAGCAAGAAAATACAAATCAAAATCTCAATGAGATACCATCTCATCCCAGAAAGGCTAATTAACTGATGACTAATTTTTTGTCATCAAAACTACAAAAAAAAAAAAAAATGCTGGTGAGGATATGGAGAAAAGATAACTCTTATACACTGCTGGTGGGAATGTAAATTGGTACAAGCACTACTGAAAACAGTATGAAAGTTCCTCAAAAAACTAAAAACAGTGGCCAGGCATGATGGCTCAAGCCTGTAATCCCAACACTTTGGGAGACCAAGGCGGACAGATGGCTTGAGCTCAGGAGTTCAAGACCAGCCTGGGCAACATGGTGAAACCCTATCTCTAAAAAAATATAAAAATAATTAGCCAGGCATGGTGGCACATGCTTGTAGTCCCAGCTATTCAGGAGGCTGAGGTAGGAGAACTGCCTGAACCCAGAAACTGGGAGGCTGCAGTGAGGCAAGATTGCATTACTGCACTCCAGCCTGAGCAACAAAGAGACTCTATCTCAAAAAAAAAAAAAAAAGAAAAAGAAAAAAAAATTAGCATATGATCCAGTAATCCCACTTTTGACTATATTTCAAAAAAAAAAAAAGAAAATCAGCATGTCAAAGAAGCACTCCCAAGTTTACTGCAGCACTATTCACAATAGCCAAGATACGGAGTCAATCTAAGAGTCCATCAACAGATGACTGGATAAAGAAAATGTGGTGGCCGGGCATGGTGGCTCACACCTGTAATCCCACCACTTTGGGAGGCCGAGGTGGGCAGATCACTTGAGGTCGGGAGTTCCAGACCAGCCTGATCAACATGGAGAAACCCCATCTCTACTAAAAATACAAAATAAGCCATGCGTGGTGGTACATGCCAGTAATTCCAGCTACTCAGGAGGCTGAGGCAGGAGAATCGCTTGAACCCAGGAGATGGAGGCTGCGGTGAGCCGAGGTCACGCCACTGCACTCCAGCCTGGGCAAGAAGAGCGAAACTCCGTCTCAAAAAAAAAAGAAAGAAAGAAAATGTTGCATATATGCACAATGGTATACTATTAAGCCATAAAAATGAAAAAAATCCTGTCGTTTGCAGTAACATGGATGAGCATTGAGGATATATGTTAAGTAAAATACACCAGCCACAGAAAGATAAATACCACATGTTCTCTTACGTGGAAGCTAAAACAGTTGGCTTCAACGAAGTAGAAAGTAGAACAGCAGTTACCACAGGCAGAGAAGGGTTGTGGAAAGGGGAATAGACAAAGGTTGGTTAATGAATACTAAAGTACAGCTAGACAGGAAGAATAAATTCTAACGTTCTACAGCACTATCACATGATATAATTAACAATTTATTGTATATTTTCAAATAGAAGAGCAGATCATGAATGCTTCTAACACAAAGAATAAATGTTCTAAGTGATAAATATACTAAGATTTGATTACACATTATATACATATATCAGATTATCACACTGTACCCCATAAATATGTACAATTATTATGTGCCAATTAAAAATAAAAGCAAAATCTAGATTTTTTAAAGTCCAACTAAAACTTCAATAATATATAATGAAGATATTTCTTAATTACTCTGTCATGAATTGATTCCTGAGTAGTATCATCCTGCCATAGAACATTCTGCTTCTTATGTTTATCAATTGTAATAATTGATATTTGAAAAGTTATCTCTATGCATATTTGTCACAAAAAAATTATTTTGTTACAGGGAACAATTATGATGTGAATAATTTCATCTCACATAACATTTGTTAGTAGAATAAGCTTTCAATTTCTTCACTCTAGTTTTATTCATGATCTCTAACGCAAAAATTAAAAGGTTCTGGGCAGCCGCAGTGTCTCACACCTGTAATCCCAGGACACTGGGAGGCCAAGGCAGGAGGATCACTTGAGGCCAGGAGTTCAAGACCATCCTGGGCAGTAAAGCAAGATGCCCCCCCACCCCCATCTCTTAAGAAAAAAAATAATAAATTTAAAAAAATTAAATTTAAAAAATTTTAAAAGAAAGCTTCAAATGCTTTTATCTGCTATGTAATATTTTTATTACGCATTACTTTACGAAAACATTTCTATGTTATCACATCTGACCCTCAAAATTCAGTTAGATAGATATTATCATTCCCATCTTGTAACTGAAAAAACTGCAAGAAAATCAAGTGATTTGCTCAAGGTTCTTCCACTGCTCTGGGGCTGAGACTCAAAGGTCTACTCTACAAGTTTTATTTGCCCAAAGAGTACATAATGAAAAAGGCTATCAACTTAAGGCTCAGCATATATGGACACTGACAAAATTGTTCCAATATCCTACGTGCTGTTTGCATCCCAATCTGTAGTATTCACCAACTACCAGTGCTGTGAACATGAGTAGGTCCTCTGTACTACAGGAAGCAAAGAAAGAGCATCAGCAGTCCCTTTCTTCCTTTCTACTACCTAAGATTTGAGAGAAAATGAAGAGCTCACAGGAACAGTAGAAAAAAAATAAGTCAGGAAAAAAAAGAAAAAAATATATATCCCAAGAAGGTAAAGGTCAATGGAAATTACAATCAGGAATCTGGCAAATTGAAGGCTAAAAGAAGAAAAAGACTTAAACAAAAGTCTACACTACCAGAGACATGCAACATGTTGGAGACTCCTCCCATAAGAAGCCAAATTCTACAAAGAATCAGCACCATGCATCTAAAACAGCAAAAGAATGTATAGGCAATACATTCTCATGACTGTTACCTTAGGGATACAGAGGCATCAATATGTAAAAACGGAATAGCCTAATCAGTTTCCCAGACCATATCTGAGATATTACTAAAAGTCTATATAAGACCCCCAAGCCTAACAACTTACTAATTTGAGATATTTTACAAGGGAACAAATTATATGGCAAAAACTTATCTAAAATACATCTCTAATGGGGATATAAATGACGTTTTCATTTCATCTTCCAGTTCATCTGGCAGAGAACAATGAATACGAAAACTGCTCAAAGGATACATAGTGTCAAAATCAAGTTGGGTGGTTTGGCAGTATGGGGGCAGGGTGAACCATAATTTCTGTATGGTCCAATCTTTTAAAATCAAGAAATAATGTATTTGATTAAATGAATTTAAATTGAAATTTGAACAAGATACCCCCCCCCAAAAAAAACCACATACAATAACAAGACAAAAGGTGCAACTGATTAAGAAAAACAAAACTCTTAAAAACCCAGTAATACTAAGTAGAAGATATGGAAGAACCATTTTTTAAAAAAGACACAATAGCTATGTTTTAATACTACTACTAATAAAGAAATGCAAGAAAGTGATTATGATAAAAGTTAGGATAACTGTTTCTTAGGAGACAAGGGGTGGTACGTGGAAGGTCATCTGGAGTTATTGGCAAACGTCTTTTTTTTTTTTTTTTTTTTTTTTTTGAGATGGAGTCTCGCTCTGTCACCCAGGCTGGAGTGCAGTGGTGCGATCTTGGCTCACTGCAAGCTCTGCCTCCCGGGTTCACACCATTCTCCTGCCTCAGCCTCCCAAGTAGCTGGGACTACAGGCACACACCACCACGCCTGGCTAATTTTTTTGTATTTTTAGTAGAGACAGGGTTTCACCGTGTTAGCCAGGATGGTCTCAATCTCCTGGCAAAGGTCTATTTTTTAACCTAAGCTGTGATTACAAGTTTGCCTTATGATTCATTCAGCTATATGGTAAGTATGATTTTCACTATATGAATTTTTACAACAAAAATGCTAAAAATTACTGGTGATAAACACAAAATGATACGGTTTGACTGTATCCCCACCCAAATCTCATCTCAAATTGTAAACCCCACGTTGAGGGAGGAACCCAGTGGGAGGTGACTGGATCATAAGGACAGTTTCCCCCATGCTGTTCTCAGGATAGTGAGGGAGTTCTCACAAGGTCTTATGGTTTAAAAGTGGCAGTTTCCCCTGAGCACTCTCTCTCTCCTGCCGCCATGTAAGACATGCTTTGCTTCTGCTTCCCCTTCGCCTTCTGCCATGAAGTTTCCTGAGGCCTCCCCAGCCATGCGAAACCGTGAGTCAATTAAACCTCTTTCCTTTATAAAATACCTAGTCTCAGGTATTTCTTTATAGCAGTGTGATAACGGACTAATACACAAAATGTAAAGTCTTAAATAGGATCTAAATCAAATCTCAAGGGTACTGAAGGAATTTTGTCTGATGGAAAACATGATACAAATTCAACAAT
Organism: Homo sapiens; assembly: GCF_000001405.40. Classification (NCBI taxonomy): domain Eukaryota; kingdom Metazoa; phylum Chordata; class Mammalia; order Primates; family Hominidae; genus Homo; species Homo sapiens. Next base: position 71,854,865 of record NC_000012.12, on the reverse strand, counting down.
GAAAAAATATACCTTGAGAAAAAGAAAGGGAAGAACAGATCAAAGATTTGAGGAAGTAGCACCACCTGTCACCAAGCGAATCTGCAAAAGAAGGTGGGGGGGAGAGGAATGCAATTGTTTTGGAAGATTATACAGACTATCAATGAGAAGGAAGAAAAAAGACACTTTAATACAAATTACAAACTGGTATAAAACCACTCTATGTATATGATGATGACCTTCAGCTATCCAAACATCTACTGGCACATTCTCTAAATACATACCATCTGTTAAAATTCTTGAATATCTTGCTGATAATGTCGCCTGTCAGAAGGTACAGAACAGAAAAGAGAATTAATGCAGGCCAACAAGAAGGAAATGGTAAAATCTTGGGAGAAAAAACCATCTTAAGAGTTCATAACAACAAAGAGAACAAATTTGGAACACAAACATTCAGCCTACGATTGAAGGGGAAAAAAGATGTACAGAAGAGATAGGTATTAATTCCACCAAAAACAGAAAGGAAAAAGAAACCCTATATAAAAACTTCCACTTCTGGCCAAGATGGAATGACAGGCTGGATTTAACCTCCCACCAGAAAAATAATAATAATAATAAACTAAACTAAAAATACTGACCAATCTGTGAAACAATAGTTTTCATGATACTCCCCAGCAAACAATGAAGGATAGTGACTATTGAGAGAAAGGAACCAAATGAAGTGAGCAATACAATTGTCTAGCTTTATGTTGTGTGTTCCCAGCTATGGGAAAGGGAGAGAAAACTCAGAAGGTGTCCAGTGAGGAGAGAGATGTGGGA